>NC_000003.12:127644967-127796483 GCF_000001405.40 Homo sapiens
TCTCTGTACTACCTGACCATGATCCTGTGAAAAAACTGGAGTTGCCCATCTTCTTCTCAAACAAACTAGCAAACAAACCCCTTCTCAAACCCCAAAGCCCACAGGTTAAAGGCTGAACTTATTAGCATGGCAGAAAATGCTCTTGATAGTCCGGCCCCAGCCTTCCCCAGCCTCTTCTCCTTCCTTGCTCCAGCATGCATCTGATTAGCTCATCATCAGCTTGTTCTCTTCCTTGCTTGGCAGAGTTGAACTGAGGCATGGGGAAGTAGGGTGCTTTGCCCAAGGACACATTGCTTGGATGTAATGGAGCTGGATCTAGAGTCAGTGTCTTCTCACTGACAACAGCCTGGCCTATTCCCTAAGCCTGTGATGCACTTGTTCCTCTTGTCCCATCTGCTGGGAAGCTCTTCTCCATCCTGATGTGCTAGTGGATATGTATTCGTCCTTGAGTACCTAGCTCAAGAGGACTAGCTTCAAGAGGCTTTTGCCAGCTCTGACCAATGAGCAGGACCAGTGCACGTGGTTATGCTGGTGGTGCCCTGTCCGGGGCTCCTGACCGAGCATGGGAGTTGGAGCTGAAGTCCAGCATACACCCTGCCAACCAGGCCATGGGCTGGGTGGGAGGAGCACCTTTTTCTAATTCATTTGCCCAGAGGGGACATCTCCGTGTACTGGCAGTGGCCCTGAAATCAGGCTAGTGACCCCTGCTTCTGTTTTCTTGCAGCACCTTGATGGCATATGATTAGGACATGACAGAAGAGAAAGTGGCTAAGGTGGCAGGCTGACAGCGAATAGTCAGGCTGGTGTAGGAGGCAGCCCAGGGGACAGTGGCGTGCCCTACCCCCCTATTCTTGTCTGCTCTTGTGCCCCGGAGCCACAGGCTTCTGTCTAGGGGTTCTTGGGGAGAAGGAGGTGGATCACCTCTTGGGGGTTGGAGGAGTCAAAAGAACCTTGAGAGGGCATGCCTGGGTTGGGAGTCCTGCAGAGTCCAGATTGACTGTGCCAAGTGCTATCCTAACATGGCCATTAGGGACATTGAACTCCATGCAGCAGTAGCAGGGACTGCTGAAAACCATGCTGCAGACAGGCCAATCTCAGATCAAGTACAAGTACATCAATCAATGTATTCAACACCCAGTATGTGCCCAGCACTATGTTAGGGGTTGTGGGTTCTCATTTAACGTCCACTGAAAAATGTAAGTATATATTCTTACTTCCATTTAGCTGATAAGCAAACCTGAGGCTTAGGGAGTTTGAATTTACAGCCCAGCAAGTAAATGTAAGAATCAGGATTCAAACCCAAGTTATTAGACTCCAAAGCCTCTCTGCCCTGTCATGTCACCTCTCAGCACAGTGATTTTGCTGGAGACTAGCACTAATGTCATATTCTATGTGGTACTTATCACCATTTTTCCATAGATTTTTTTTTTTTTTTTAGATGAAGTCTCACTCTGTTGCCCAGGCTGGAGTACAATGGTGCAACAGTCTTGGCTCACTGCAACCTCCGCCTCCCAGGTTCAAGTGATTCTCCTGCCTCAGCCTCCCAAGTAGCTGGGATTACAGGGGTGCACCACTATGCCTAGCTAATTTTTGTATTTTTAGTGGAGACGGGGTTTCCCCATGTTGGCCAGGATGGTCTCAAACTCCTGACCTCGTGATCTGCCCGTCTCGGCCGCCCAAAGTGCTGGGATTGCAGACGTGAGCCACCACGCCTGGCTCCATAGAATTTTGAGTTAGCTCATTTGGACTTCACAACCATTCTGTGAGCTCAGCCAGGTGGCAGTTATTCTCTTTGCTTGACAAATGGTGAGCTGGGCCAAGGGAGGTTCAGACCTTTGCCCAAGGCCACACAGCTTGTGTGTGGCAGAGCCGAATCTGGAGTCGGTATCCCTGAGCACTGATGCCCTGGGCCTGGCTTCTTGCCAAGGGAGCACATTGATGACACATGTGAGACAGGAAACCAGTCCATTCTGTCACTAGGACTTTGTCATACATCCCATTTCTAGTGTGTTGGGCCTCAGGTAGAGCTGATGCCTTCCTTCTCCATCTGTAATGATGGTCCCCGGGCCCAGTGGGAAAAACAGCTGGTGGAGTTTCTGCTTGGTGGATAATGAGCAGTGTGACCTTGAGTGTGCTGCTTTTCTAATGTTGGCTTCAGTCTCTTCATCTGCAAAATGAGACCTGGGAATAATAGATTGAAGTCTTTGCAGCTTGAAAATATTATGATTCTGTGACATTTCAAGTGAAAAGAGCAACCTCAACAAAGCAGGGAAAAAAACATGGAATGCGAATTGCTGCTCCACCAGCTAGCATCAAGTGAAGTTACAGCCTGACCAGTTAATTCATGCACAATTGTTAATGATTAGGAGCAGTCTCTCAGGTTACCTACTCATTCGAGACTGTCCCCACTGACCCCTCTAGCCCTTTCATTTTCTAAGCTCCTTAAGGAAATTGTCTTGCATGCAGTTTTAATTTTCCTAGTGAGTGAGCAAATTAAAGTGTTCTGCAAGAAACACTTTAATCTTTGGGGTTGGCAAGTCCTAGATACCCAACTCAGACAGGCTCACGGGCCTGTCTGATAAAAGGGGACTTTATTGGCTGAAGAACGGGGGTCCAGGAACAGGCTTCCAGCTCCAGCACTCGGCGTGCCGCCCTCAACGTGCTGGAGCCTGCCCTGTCCCATCAGTCATGCTCGGCTTTCCCTTGCTGGCTTCGTTCTCAGGCAGGCTGGTCCTGGGCACCGGCTTGGAGAGCCCAGTAGCTCCACACTGTCGTCCCATCACTCAGCACCCCGCAGAAAGGGAGCTCTGCCTTCCCAGCACTTCAGGAACAGTCACTGGATGGTCTCCCTGAGTCCCAAGCTTGGGGATGGAATTTGACTGTCCAGGCCCATGTTGAGCTGTCCCTGAAGCCAGGGGACATTCCAGACCAAAAAGAGAGGAGGAATGTCCCCCAGAGTAGAATTGAGGTGCTATTAACAGAAAGAGAGCATGAGACAACAGTACTGTGCTTGAGTAGGGAACACTCATAAAGTGCCTATACTTCATATGTCATTTTCACTTGGATTTTTTTTTAACCTCACAGCAACCTGATGAAATCTGTAAAAGCAGGCATGATTAGATCACTGTTTTACAGCTAAAGAAGCTGGCTGACAGAGATTTAAAAGTGGCTCTAAATGACATAGTGGCAGAGCTAAATCTCAAATCTGAGAGTTCTACTTCAAGATCTGCTGCTCCCCTCAATACAAAGTCCTTCATTAGGCTACTTTAATTATCATTGCCGTAATCAATTTTGGAGAAAGCAGACCGACCGAGCAGCTGTCTGCTGGGACCTGGAGCTGGTTCCTGTACAGCGAAGCCTTGTTGTGATTGTGTCTGCTGTAGAATGATTTGACCTTCTGGGTCATTGCCCACACATCAGGTGTATCCATGTCCTTAGGATGGGCCGATAGCTGTGGAGCCTGTGGACAGAGCAACAAAGAGAGCACTTTTACTTAGACACCAAAACAAAAGCCTTGTCATTCTTGTTCTGTGCTAGTAATAAATATCAACATATAAAAATTTAAAACAGCAATTAAAAGAAGAAAATAAAAATCACCTATAATCCAGTGATTCAGTCAGTGAATGTTAACGTTTTGGACTATCTCTTTCTGGACTTTTTTTTTTTTTTGAGACAGTCTCACTCTTTGCCCAGGCTGGAGTGCAGTGGTGTGATCTTGGCTCACTGCAACCTCTGCTGCATGGGTTCAAGTGATTCTTAGTCTCCTGAGTAGCTGAGATTACAGGTGTGTGCCCCTATGCCCAGCTAATTTTTGTATTTCTTTTTTTTTTTTTTTTTTTTTTTGAGACGGAGTCTTGCTCTGTCGACCAGGCTGGAGTGCACTGGTGCGATCTCAGCTCACTGCAATCTCTGTCTCCCGGATTCAAGCAATTCTCCTGCCTCAGCCTCCTGAGAACTGGGGCTGCAGGCAGGTGCCACCACCCCCAGCTAATTTTTGTATTTTCAGTAGAGACGGGGTTTTGTCATGTTGGCCAGGCTGGTCTTGAACTCCAAACCTCAGGAGATCCACCTGCCTTGGTCTCCCAAAGTGCTGGGATTACAGGCATGAGCCATTGCACCCAGCTCTTTCCAGACTTTTTTTTTTTCCTTTATAGGACATATATAAAAATATGCTTTTACAAAAAATGGACAATAGTGGACACTGTGGTATACACATCTTGCTGTTTCACTTAGAAACCTCTTTCCAAGCCAGCACACACAGCTCTGCAGCCTGTTCAAGGCTGCCATGGTCTCCCAGTATAAGGCGGGTCTATCATTTCTTTGGGCAGTCCCCTGCCATGTGGGTGCTGGACCCCAGTCTTCTGCTACATGGACTGTGCCATGATGGGGATCTATAAAGCCACATGACTGTGAGCGTCCCTAATCGTCTCCTTAGGGTACCTTTCCAGAAGTGAGATTGTAGGTTCAGAATATTTGTCTTTAAAGCTTCTCGTTCCTGTGACTCAGTAGCTCTCCAGAAATGTGGCCTGCTTTCCTTCCCATCCCTCACCCTTCCAATACTAGGCATGAATGACTTTGAATGTATACATATACTTGTCAGGTTGGTAGTCCAAAGATTTTGGCATTTTGCAGTTTACTTTATATTCCTTTGATGACTATTGAGGTTGACTATCAAAAAGTAGTTTTAAGCCAGGCATGGTGGCTTACGCCTGTAATTCCAGCACTTTGGGAAGCCGAGGCGGGTGGATCACCTGAGGTGAGGAGTTCGAGACCAGCCTGGCCAACATGGTGAAACCCCGTCTCTACTAAAAATACAAAAATTGGCTGGGTGTGGTGGTGGGTGCCTGTAATCCCAGCTACTCAGGAGGCTGAAGCAGGAGAATTGCTTGAACGCAGGAGACAGAGGCTGCAGTGAGCCCAGATCACACTGCTGCACTCCAGCCTGGACACCAGAACAAGACTTTGTCTTAAATAAAAAAGTAGTTTTAAGTTATACTAAAACGTCTTCCCTTGCACCTCTGTTTTAGACATATTTATTTTTAATTTTGAGTGTTTTTATATTAACACTCAGTTGGATAACTGACTTGAGAGTTGTAGTGAGGGGACAATTTTCAGTGACTTGACATTAACCTAAAGGGACATTTAAAGTGATCTTTCAAGGGCTCTGGCCCTTATGCCTGTTTTAATTCTGTCTCTTGAATAGAAGAATCAGTTCATTGATATTTCAGCCTGTGCTGAAGTTCATCCCTGGGATTATGGCTGCCCTGAGAGATAGAAGTAAAGTCCAGAGTGACTTCGATAAACTGGGGAAAGAAACCTATACAGAACTGTGATGAAATATAGGAGGGAAAAATGATCTATTTAGGGAACAAAGCCAGCACCATAATGAGTTTAAAAGAAAGCGGAGAAATAAGGCCTAGGGGACCCAGGCCTGGGGCTTCATCAGGGTGAGCTGGAGCTGCATCTGAGCCAGCACCAACCCATCACAGGGGGCGCGGGAGAGCTCAGCTTACCAGCTGTGATAAATGACAGTAGTGCCACTGGAGTGGAGAAACCCCTTTACATTTTGCATCAATTAGTCTCAAGTTAGTGAATCTTGTTCAGTTTTCAATAGTTCATTCAGCAAATATTTACTGTGTACCCCCTGTGCTGATTTTGTAACACTCTTTTTTGTTTTTTGTTTGTTTTTTTTGTTGTTGTCGTTGTTGTGACGGAGTCTTGCTCTGTCGCCCAGGCTGGAGTGCAGTGGTGCGATCTCGGCTCACTGCAAGCCCCGCCTCCTGGGTTCACACCATTCTCCTGCCTCAGCCTCCTGAGTAGCTGGGACTACAGGCACCCACCACCACACCCAGCTAATTTTTTTTTGTATTTTTAGTAGAGACGGGGTTTCACCGTTTTAGCCAGGATGGTCTCCATCTCCTGACCTCGTGATCCACCCACCTCAGCCTCCCAAAGTGCTGGGATTACAGGCGTGAGCCACCGCGCCCAGCTGTAATACTCCTAAAACTGTGGTGAGGCTGGGTGCGATGGCTCACACCCGTAATCCCAACGCTTCGGGAGGCCGAGACGGGTGGATCACCTGAGGTCAGGAGTTCAAGACCAGCCTGACCAACATGGTGAAACCCCATCTCTACTAAAATACGAAAATTAGCCAGATGTGGTTGCGGGCACTTTAATCCCAGCTACTCGGGAGGCTGAGGCAGGAGAATCGCCTGAACCCAGGAGGCGGAGGTTGCAGTGAGTTGAGATCGTGCCATTGCACTCCAGCCTGGGCGACAGACTAAGACTCCATCTCAAAACAAACAAACAAAAAACACCAGGGTGAATCCAGAGTTTTCACAAGAGAAGGATGAAAACAGAAAGGTTGAGAATAAAGAATAATTACAGTTGTTTAGCCCCAGGAAAAGAAGCTAGGTTTAGGGGCAACTAAGAGACTATGTACATTGTTTCCTCTGAAGGCGGTGCTAGCAGGTGCTGCTCACTTACCAGATGAAACAGAGATGGACTTGAGTTGTAAAGGAACCATCACAGCTGGGTTTAGGCAAATGGGGGTGTAGGGGTAAGTCAATAACACAGAAATGCCTCTCTAAAGAGACCCAGCCATATTCTTGAAGATAATTGCCAGCCCATCTTCTCTAGACTCACCAGTGCCTGCCAGAGGGCTGAGGCCTCGTCAGGTAGCCTCCTGTGGTCCCTTCCCGTGTTAGGACCCTGACCCTAACCACGGATACACCTGCCGTGAGCTGGGCTGTGTGGATGCTGAGAGGAGCAGAGAACATGGAGTGTGACAGAAGGAAAGTGTGCCTTCTGTGGGCTGGGTGTTTTGCATTCCTGATGCCACTTCATCTTTGTAACAACCTGAGGTATTAGCCTCACATCATGGAGAGGTGGGTGTGTGGCACACAGAGGCAAGTGGCCACCCAGAATTCCAGCCCATGCCTCCAGAACCCTGAAGCTTGGCCTGGGGCTCTTAACGCCAGCCACTCTTGTGATTCAAGCCCAGCTTTAAGGAGGTTGGCTGCGGCCACAAAGGTACGGGCAGACTGGGGAGAGGTCATGATTCTGCTTGTCAGCTTGCTCCTGTCCAGCATCCCAAGCCAAGCCCGGGTGCTGGACTAAATGACCAGGATGTGTCAAAAGACACTGGCTTTAACCACACAAGAGTCTAAGAGTCTTACAACTTTACAACTGTGACAAGTCTAGCATCACAACTTAGAGCAAGAATCCTCCTCTCCTGGGCTCCCTCATGTGGAAAAGGCGAGAGATGGGCCCTTTGCTCTTGCAGGGCCTCTGTCTACCTGTAAAATCCCTGAGTCTGGGATTTGGAGACCCAACTGTTCTGAGGGCTCTGGGGAACATGTGGTTTCTGTTTAGAGCCACCAGGGGGGGCTGTGACTTCACAGTGCCATTCCCAGCAGTTCTGGGAGGGTCGGGAGCCCAGGAGCCTAAGTGTTATCCTGCAATCAATCCAGGAGGTCCTCCAGGGCTCTCCTGTGCAACGAGGGGGTCTGCCCCAGGTGTCTTCTGAGCTGCAGCTTAGACATTCGTGGCCTCCCATGCTCCGAGGCCCAGCCCGAGCCTCTCCCTGGAGGGCTTGAGCCTTGGATGACCTTTCTCATCCTTCAGTGCCCCAGCTCTTCCTGAGGACAGGGATGAATCCATGGAGCCAGCCCTTAGACTTCCACGTGTCTCCAGTGTGTCTCCCGGGCGGCTCGGCTTCCTCACACCTGTGTCCAGGTGTGGGGCTCTAGAGGTACACCTTGGTCCCAGACACGCTTTTGGGGTTTGGCTACAAACTAAAAGGGCTTCGTGGAGGGACCCTTCTCCTGAGCCTGAAGTGGATGGGGTAGGAAGGGATTCCCTGGAGCGCTCAGCTGGTCAGACCCTCCCTCTGGAATCAGAGCTGTCCACGGCAGCAGGGCTGAGGGTGTGGGCATCAAGGACTTGCCCTGGGTCACTGAGGGCAGGCTGGGAGGGCAGGTAGCCCTGTCATGTGTCCCCTCTCTCCTCCCTCTCCTCTTGCCTCTCCCCTCTCTTTACTCTCCTCATCTTCATCTCCCTCCTTTTCCTGCTCAGCTTCACTTCTTTGTTTCTCTTCTTCCATTCCCAATTTGATCCTTTTTCACCTCCAAAGTGCCTGCTGAGGCTTCCTCTCCCCTCTCAATGCAGCGAGTCCCTAGAAGCCTGATCTGTATTCCTTGGACACCTGAGTGGGAAAAGCACCTTCCTCCCTGTCTCTCAAAACTGTCTCACCTGCTTCAGGGCGGTGTGGCTCCTTCCTGCCACAGGGCTCTGCGCTCTCAGCCAGGATAGCCTGCCCTGTCCCTTGCCATGTTTCTATTCCCCTCTTGACAGCTCAAGCATGTTCGCTGACCTGTAGTGAAAGTCAGTGTCTCAGGCCGGGTGCAGGGGCTCTCTCCTGTAAGCCCAGTACTTTGGGAGGCCAAGGCAGGCAGATCACGAGGTCAAGAGATCAAGACCAGCCTGGCCAACAAGGTGAAACCCCGTCTCTACTAAAAATACAAAAAATTAGCTGGGCGTGGTGGCGTGTGCCTATAGTCCCAGCTACTCAGGAGGCTGAGGCAGGAGAATTGCTTGAACCCAGGAGGCGGAGGTTTCAGTCAGCCAAGATCGTGCCAATGCACTCCAGCCTCGGTGACAGAGTGAGACTCCATCTCAAAAAAGAAAAAAAAAAAAAGAGAGAAAGTGTCTCTCACATGTGCACGCTCTCTCTGTTACTCCTTATTTTAAAAAATTTTCAATTTACAGAAAAGTTGCAAGAATAATTCCGTCCACCCCTTGCTCGGACTCCCCCATTATTAACACTTTGCCGCAGTTGCTGTATCAGTGTGTATGTGTACATGTATGGATATGGAGATGCAGATCTGTACTTCTTGCTAAACCATTTAATGGTAAGTTGCAGACATGATGCTCCTTTGCTCCAAATACTTCAGTGTGCATTTCTTAGGAACAAAGCATTCTCCTAAAAACCACAGCAGGATGATCAAAATCAGGAAATTAACACTGATACAATATGCTTCTGTAATTACAAACTTTATTCAAACTTTGCCAGTTTTCCCAGTAGTGTCTTTTATAGCAAAAGAAAAAAAGAGCAGGGTTTCATAGTCCACTATCCGGTCCAGAATCACGTACTGCATTTAGTCCGCATGTCTCTTTTGTCTCTTTTTTATTCTGGAAAACCCTCTAATCTTTCTTTGTCTTTCATGACCTTGACATTGTTGGAGTGCAGGCCAGTTATTTTGTAGATTGCCCCTCAATTTCAGTTTGTCTCAAATTTCCCCATGGTCAGATTCAGGCTCTGCATTTTTGGCAGGCATATTGTGGACGTGATGCTGTATCTTCTTAGTGAATCGTACCGTGGTTCTGCTCTTGGGTAAAGCCTGGCTTCTTCACTCTTTATTCTCAACTCCCATTTGGATCCAGTCTCACGGGCCCTCTCCTGGGACCCCTGCTTTCACACTGCTGGTGTTTGCCCTGCAGCTGCCCACACAGACGCCCCTCACCCCACTGGTTCCTAGTGTGTGCTCCCATCAGGCCTCCCGGTAATTCTGTTTCTGTTTTAGGAGACATTTGTAATACTGAAATCATATTTACACTTGTCAACAGATGAGTAATCCCCTCCTGCCCTGCCCTTTTTCCTAGATTTTCTTTGACTTAAAACTCAAGTGCTTAGGCTTTAGTTACATTCGGTATAAAAAATGAAAAATAAAAACTCAAGTGCTTATCCTGCTCCTCATTCTATGGAGACACTTCCACTTTTCCTGTTATTATTTTACCAGGTAATAACTCCTTTAATAATAATAATGGCAGGCGGATGGCCAGGTGCGGTGGCTTACGCCTATAATCCCAGCACTTTGGAGGGCCAAGGTGGGCGAATCCACCTGAAGTCAGGAGTTTGAGACCAGCCTTGCCAACATGGCAAAACCCCGTCTCTACTAAAAATACAAATTTTTCTTTCTTTCTTTTTTTTGTGAGACAGAGTCTCACTCTGTCACCCAGGCTGGAGTGCAGTGGTGCAATCTCGGCTCACTGGAACCTCTGCCTCCCGTGTTCAAGCGACTCTCATGCCTCAGCCTCCCAAACAGCTGGGATTACAGGCACCTACCACCACACCTGGCTGATTTTTGTATTTTTAGTAGAGACGGGATTTCACCATGTTGGCCAGGCTGGTCTTGAACTCCTGACCTCAGGTGATCCACCCCCCGCTTGGCCTCCCAAAGTACTGGGATTACAGGCATGAGTCACCATGCCCAGCCATAATACAAAAATTAGCTGGGCTTGGTGGCAGGTGCCTGTAATCTCAGCTTCTCTAGAGGCTGAGGCAGGAGAATTGCTTGAACCTGGAAGGTGGAGGTTGGAGTGAGCCGAGATCACACCACTACACTTCAGCCTGGGCAACAGAGTGAGACTCTGTCTCAAATAATAATAATGATAATAACAACAACAATAATAATAGCAGGAGGAGGTGGAGGACCCCCCACAGTTAACTGAGTGTTTACTCTGCACTGCGGACTGTGCGCAGGGTCACCTCACTGAACCCTGACCAGAGCCCTGTGTGGCAGGTACTATTTTTATTTTACACTTAAGGAAAGGGAGACACATGGAGGTTAAGCAGCATGTCCAAGATCATACAGCTGATAAGCAGTGAAACTGAGACCACACTGTAAAAAGAAAAGGAATAATTTTAGATCTTGAGAGCTGGTAAGGAAGTAGGAAAGGACTGCTGATTCCAAGTGCCAGTGAGCAAGCGTTCAGTGATTTGTCAAGTCACTGGAGTGAGAGGCTGGAAAAAAGCGAGGAGCTCTGGAGAAGATGTAAATTTGGGAGCCTTTAGCATAGAGAAAATAGATGCAGCCTGTGGAATGAGCACTGACCAAGGAAGAAGTGTGGAAATGATGAGTCAGAGGCTGACCCTGGAAGGGACTGCATTTTGGGAGGCAGGAGAGGAACTCATAGAGACAGTAAAGAAGTCTGTGCAGTGACGGGAGGGCCTCTTACCCCTTGGAGGCACAGGCCCTGGTTTTTAGGAGGCAGAAGAATTCAAAAACACACGTTGCTCTCCTTTCTACTCTGGGCCAGGCACTATGTTAGGTGCTGGGAATGTAGGGATGAAGACAATTGCTTTGCTTGGCATCAAAAATTTGTAATCTAGTGAATCCTATTTTATTCTTACTTAAGACACTAGAGTTGTTTGTAATGCCATTGGTGTATAAGACACATTTATCAGAACTATATCCAAAGCTTAAAATATCAGTGATATGAAGAACCTTAGAAATCATATATACCATCATCCTCATTCCACATAAAAACTGAAGCCCAGGCCAGGTGCAGTGGCTCATGCCTGTAATCCTGGAACTTTGGCAGGCCAAGGCAGGAGGATCGCTTGAGCCCAGGAGTTCAAGACCAGCCTGGGCAACACAGGGAGACCCCATCTCTACAAATAATAATTTTAAAGAATTAGCCAGGTGTTGGGCGCGGTGGTTCACGCCTGTAATCCCAGCACTCTGGGAGGCTTTGGTGGGTGGATCATGAGGTCAGGAGTTCGAGACCAGCCTGGCCAACATGGTGAAACCCTGTCTCTACTAAAAATACAAACATTAGCCGGGCGTGGTGGTGCATGCCTATAGTCCCAGCTACTCAGGAGGCTGAGGCAGGAGAATTGCTTGAACCTGGGAGACAGAGGTTGCAGTGAGCCAAGATCGCGCCACTGCACTCCAGCCTGGGTGACAGAGCAAGACTCCATCTCAAAAAAAAAAAAAAAAAAAAAAAAAATAGCTAGGTGTGGTGGTGTGTGCCAGTAAGTCCCAGCTACTCAGGAGACTGAGGTAGGAGAATTGCTTGAGCTCAGGAGTTCGAGACCAGCCTGGGCAGTGTAGAGAGACCCTGTCTCTACAAATAATAAAAAAATTTAGCGGGGTGTAGTGGCCCTGTGGTCCCAGCTGCTTGGGAGGCCGAGGTGGGAGGATCACTTGAGCCTCGGAGTTTGAGGCTGCAGTGAGCCGTGATTGCACCACTGCACTCCAGCCTGGGTGACAGAGTGAGACCCTGTCTCAAAAGCAGAACAAAACCTGAAGCCCAGAGAAGTTGGAGGGACTTACCACTGCGTGCGCAGATAAGTTAGTGGCTGAGTCCCAGATCATGCTGCCGACAGCGTGACTGATGATGCATCTCTGAGGAGGCTGTACACAGTTTAGGGAGTTCTGTTGGTGCCCTCTGGAGATGTTGATGCTCTCTCTGACTTTTGGAAAGTCAGCACCAAATTGAGTAGAGAGATCGTTTTAGTCAGCTTGCCCTCCCAGGACTTCCCCACCCCATGGGATTCTGCTGATGGGTGTGTCACCATCCACCATATTCCTGCCATATCCTAGGCTGCATTGAATCCATCAGCTATTTTAAGTGCGTCCTGAAGGTTTCCAATACTCCTTTCCTCTGAACTTCACCATCTCTATTAATGGCTTGGCTACTCCCGCAGCTTCTCCCTGTTGGCCATCTAGCTCACGCATCTGATTACTTCTCTTTCAGAGTCATCTCTTGAGTCTGCTCTTTTCTCATCATCTCCAGTGTCATCACCGCCATGCATCTCTCCCGAATCACTGCAGCAACTCCCTGACTCTTCTTTGCACTTTCATTCATCTACTCCTTCACCTAATCTTGTAAATTGCTGTCAGATTAATCTTCCAATAATGAAATATTATGCTTGTAAGTGATTTCATATATTGTATTTCCTAGGCACCCATCTGACTCCTATTCTGTTACCCAGTATTCCTATCAAGTAATCATCCAGCCCATTTCAGTTATGTTTTCATGCATTATATCTTAATTCTGGATAGATCTGGCTATTATAAAGTTCTTACTTACATTGAGGTAAAATATATTTATTCTTCTATATACTTGTTTTGTGGGTGTGATTTCCTCCTGAATCTTTCTGAAGATATTAACAAGAAACTTTTCTGAATTCTCTTTTGTTAACTAGACTAACTTTTCCTAGAGGTCAGTTGCTTTATGGTCCCACCCTTATGCTTCTTCATCAGGCTGGCTTTCTTAAAATGTCTTGTGAATCTTGGTTGTTCTTTCTTTCTTATTTATCTGTAGTGACTTCACTACAGAGTGTGTGCAGTAGGTGGAAGAGGGGGAGGATCTGCTACTCAAAAAGTCTAATTAACAGAAGTGGACTGGATAGAATATTCTAATTATTGATTTAAATACTATAGTGGGCTTTCAGTTGTCACTAGGATTGTTCAGCTTCTAAGTCATACTTTTTATTACAGGGAATCAATTTTTCTTTTTGAAATAATCGTTCTCAGAGCTCTCTCTGTGTGTTCTAATTTGAACCAATTGCTTTCCAGGCTTACTGCACAGTTTCCATCCTGAGATATATTTTCATTGCATTCCTCTCATGTTTCTTGATTTCCCATGTCTTTTTTTTTTTTTTTTTTTTTGGTTTCTTAAATAACTTACTTAAATCTCTTGGAATCTGTGGATAGTAACACTTTTAAATCTTTGCATGTATGAGAATGTCTTTATTTTGCAATCACACTTGAGTAGTCATTTATTTGGATATAACATTTCAGGTTCAAAATAAACATCCCTCAGATTTTTCAGTGCATTTTTAAATTCTTCCTCTAGGCTACTGATATTAATTAGAAGCTTCATGATAATTTGGTAATCTGTTTCTTGTTCCTTTACAGATAACCTGTTCTTTCTCTGAGAGCTGTTAAGATTTTCTCTTGCTCCTTATAATTCTAAAATCACATGAGAATGAGGCTAGGTGTAAGTCTTTTATCATTCACCTTGATGATACAAGCTTTCATTGCAAAGATTCATGTTGCCAGCTCTGAAACTTTTTTTCTTTGTTTCTCTCCATTATTCTCCATTTTGTTGGTTCTATCTTTCCAGAAATCATATTAGCTAGGTATTAGATCTCCTACATTGGTTGTCTGTATCTTTTAACTCTTATCTGTTGTCTTCTCACTTTTGCCCTAGAGGCTTTTCCTTGACTTTTTTTTTTCCCAGCCATTAAAAATTTGAATTTTCAATCCGTTGAATTTTTAAATATCAACTATTGACTTTCAATATCCAAGAAATTTTTCTTTTTTAAAGATTACTTGATTTTCTGAGTGGCGTCTTATTTTAGGGATGCAATATTTTGTAATCTTTCTGAGGATACTAATTAGACTTTTAAAAATTACCTTCTGTTCTCTGAATTTTCTGTGTTCTACATCCTTGCTCCCACAGTTGTGCCTCTTCCTAACTCTGGGTAAGAAAGCCTGCCTCCTCCCCTGCTATTTTTTCCTATGTTTATTTTGGCTGAGGGGTTATCTGTTCCTATAATCTCATCTGCTTTCCATGTTCCCAGAAATTTCTCTAAAATGTTTTTATCTTCATTTTGACAGTTAAAATTGTTTTTGTCATTTGATAAAAGTTTTGGAGGAGGAGGTAAATGAATACCTTTAGTTCGCTATCTTAAAGTGTTCCCACCACTCTCCTTTCTAAAGAGTATTTTAAAACTACAATATTTATTATTTTGAAACAAAATGGCAGCCAATAAAAGTTGCTTCCTAGATACAGCTTCTGATATTTTGAATGAATTTCCAAAAAACTTGTTGTATAACTTTCATGCATAGTTATTTGGAAGAGGCCTAGGGTTCATTGAAAAGCCAGAAAACAATCTGATCTCCAGGAAGTCTCCTAACTTCTCTGCTTCAAAATGTAATTCCCAAGAATGGCAGGGAGAATAAAAACCCCTCTCCCATTGCCAACAGTGACCCTGAACATTCTGGGAGGCCCTGGAAAACTCTGGGCTCAGCCCCTGGCCTCTCTCTGGCTCTCCCTACATCTTTTTCATTTCCTGTCAGGGCCTAAATTACAGAAAAAGAGCACAGTTGAGGAACAATGGTCATAATTGAGGGGTCTCACTTCCTCCAGTGATGAGAGGGCTCTCAGACCTCCTTCGGGGACTCCACCAAGAAGACTCTTATAACGACTCACTAGAAAAGGAGTAGGGGGACCCTTCCTAGTGGGTTGTTGTGGGATCTTCTTGGTGAAATCCCCAGATGAGGACAAGCAAGCACATTACAAACACAGTGGAGAATATATACCTCAAACTACTCATGGCTCTTTTGGAGGAATGCAATATACAAAACTTTCTACATTCCTGTGTTCATTGAGTTTTGGTGATAAATTTGTATTATTTTATCATCATAAAGGAAACAGTGACTAGCCTTGTCCCTGTGTCCTCCCACAGTCTGCTCCCCTGGCCTCTCCATCATGACCTGATGACCCCTGCCCTGTCAGTGTATTGTGGTTCTTTTATGCCATCTGCCCAGTAAATACTGAGTAAAGCAATGAATGATGAAACAAGTGAATGAACTTTTCATCTCTGTCCTTAGATTATGTTTTTCCTGACTTAACTGAGAAGGCAGGTTCCATTGAAGACACCAGCCAGGCTCAAGAGCTGCCAAACCTCCCCTCTCCCTTGCCCAAGATGAATCTGGTTGAGCCTCCCTGGCATATGCCTCCCAGAGAGGAGGAAGAAGAGGAAGAGGAAGAGGAGGAGAGGGAGAAGGAAGAGGTAGAGAAACAAGAGGAGGAGGAAGAGGAGGAGCTGCTCCCTGTGAATGGATCCCAAGAAGAAGCCAAGCCTCAGGTCCGTGACTTTTCTCTCACCAGCAGCAGCCAGACCCCAGGGGCCACCAAAAGCAGGCATGAAGACTCCGGGGACCAGGCCTCATCAGGTGTGGAGGTGGAGAGCAGCATGGGGCCCAGCTTGCTGCTGCCTTCAGTCACCCCAACTACAGTGACTCCGGGGGACCAGGACTCCACCAGCCAAGAGGCAGAGGCCACAGTGCTGCCAGCTGCAGGGCTTGGGGTAGAGTTCGAGGCTCCTCAGGAAGCAAGCGAGGAAGCCACTGCAGGAGCAGCTGGTTTGTCTGGCCAGCACGAGGAGGTGCCGGCCTTGCCTTCATTCCCTCAAACCACAGCTCCCAGTGGGGCCGAGCACCCAGATGAAGATCCCCTTGGCTCTAGAACCTCAGCCTCTTCCCCACTGGCCCCTGGAGACATGGAACTGACACCTTCCTCTGCTACCTTGGGACAAGAAGATCTCAACCAGCAGCTCCTAGAAGGGCAGGCAGCTGAAGCTCAATCCAGGATACCCTGGGATTCTACGCAGGTAAAGTGAGGGGCATGCGGGCCACCACCCTGTACCTTCTTCACAGAGCCTGGCCATCCCCAGGGCTAGTGTGGCATGGGGGCAGGATCTGCCAGGTTGAGGAGGGAGGCCCTTTCCACAGCACGTAGAACCCCATGGAACTTGTGGGGATGCAAACCTCAGGGCCAACAATGGGTGTTCTCCCCACACTTCTGTGCAAAGGCCTTTGGAGAAACTTGGTGGCCTGGCCTGGGTTTCATTTGTTCATGTGTTACCATTGCCACCCTTAGACATCTTTTGTTTTTTTTTTTTCCCGAGATGGAGTCTCACTCTGTCGCCCAGGCTGGAGTGAAGTGGGCATGATCTCGGTTCACTGCAACCTCCACCGCCCAGGTTCAAGCAATTCTCATACCTCAGCCCCCTGAGTAGCTGGGATTACAGGCATGTGCCACCATGCCTGGCTAATTTTTGTATTTTTAGTGGAGACAGGGTTTCACCATGTTGGCCAGGCTGGTCGGGAACTCCTGACTTCAAGTGATCCACCCGCTATGGCCTCCTGAAGTGCTGGGATTACAGGCATTAGCTACCGCACCCAGCCCACACTTAGACTTCTGCACTGATTCTACCAGCAGCTAGAGCTAGTGGCTGACCTGTGCTTTCCCCATCCCATCTCACCACCCTCCTCCTCCCCACCGACACCCATGTGCATAGCAGGCACAAGTCAGTGTTCACACCCACTGACACCGCAAGGAAAAGAAAGGAGCCCCAGAATATTAACAATAAACTTGCCCTTGAAAGCCAGCATGTGGGGCAAGCTCTCTGCAGCCTGGCCCCTTTGATATAGTCCCCTACTTCCTGGGAATAATGCCTGGCCTCCTCCTCTCACTCAATACATTCCCTGCTTGGTCCCCAAAGACATTCGAGTTTGTACTCCTTGGCATGGTGCCTCACAGAGGCTGTCAGCAGCCCCCTCGCTGTAATACGCCTCCACTGGCCTCCACCTTCCAGCTTCCCAAAAGGCCTCCGACCGGGGCTCTCTCCCCTGTCCCTTTCCTATGCCTTCGTAACTGTCGCCCTTCTTTCTGTCTCCTCGCACAGGTGATCTGCAAGGACTGGAGCAATCTGGCTGGGAAAAACTACATCATTCTGAACATGACAGAGAACATAGACTGTGTGAGTGCCCAGCCAGGCTCCGAACCGCAGGGAAAGGCTGCAGGCAGTGGACAGGGTGGGGCAGAGGGCAGGCTGGGGGGACAAGCAGTGCGTGGGAGAAGGCTTAGTCCTTCAGTTGGTGGCCCAGGGATATACCAGCAGCCATCAACATTACACACAGAGAGCTTTCGTATTTTAAAATGTCCAAAGGCTCTTTGGTTCTTGCTTCCCTCTCTTTTTAATTTAAATGAATACTTTGTTCATGTGTGCACCATCTTACCTCTCCCGTGATATTGAAACCTTTCTGTCTTTTTTAGAGTTGTTTTCTTCCTGTATAGGTTGCTTTTCTCCGTTTTGGGTCTCAGCCTTTTCATATATATACATGCTCTCCACACATGTCTGGTGGAGTTTGTTCATAGCTCTCTCTATCGAAAAAGTGGCTGGAAGCTTTGAGCATAGTGCTAGGGTTGTCAGCTATGGCTTCTCATGAGAGTGGTCTGGCTGGGCCGTATCACTTAGAAATTTGCAATGGCAGCATTGTTAGGTCCTTCCTCCTGAGGTGATTAGAGTCTTTGAAAAGGGAACTTCTGTTCTGTTCGAAGTATAACAAGTTGGTTGTCAGTGTTCTGGGAGCTGGGGTGGAGAGAGAGGGCTGGGTGTTTCAGTATTATAAATATGTATCCATAAATATCAATATTCATGTACTGTCTCTTCCTGTTTGCAGAGTGACCTTCTCCCTCCCCAAAACACACACTTGTGTCTGATGCTCTCTAGGTCAGAGACCCTCTGTTTTATCTTTTTTAAAGAATAAACTTCCAGTCTTCTGCCAGGGAGAAGGGACATTTCTTGGCTGTGCAGCACTGCGGGAAGAACTAGGGACCCAGCCGTTTCTTAAGCAAACTTTCGACCAGCTCATATTTTTAGTAGCATTTTCATCCCCTCTTCCAAAGGTAACCAGGGCCCCTATTCCGGGGCATCTGGGGAGTGTCAATCAGTATGCATCTGATTGCTTCTCAGCTTTCCTCATTTTGGCTTAGGGTTTGGCTCTTTAGAGTTTGCTAAATTAGGAAATTCTAACTCACCATCTGCTTCCAGTGTCTAGATTTTGTTGCTCTTGTCTCCTCTTCTGTTTTGCTTTGTCTCTGGTTTTAGGCCTTAAATTCTTTACTCTTGTTAGTGGGCCTGGGCAAGACTGAAGGGACATGCATGCGTTGAATCCAAAAGTCCCCAGCAAGGTTGGTTTCCCCCACCATCACTATACTGATGGATCTTCACCTAAGTGATGTGTGTTTTCATCCATTGCAGTTATTATTTTTACTGATGCTCAATACCTCATCTTTGGCCAGGGAAAGCCTCTTTGAGTTGGCCTCTGAGTCCTTTTGACCAATCTATTAAGTGTCTGATTGCTTCCTTGCTTTCTGGCATAATAAGACATTCCAGGCTCACCTTCCTCCCCCAGACATGGAGCCCTCATTCCCTTCATTGGGAAATGGTACATGAAGACCACAGATGGGTACTTGGGACCCTTGAACTTTTGGTGTGCATACTTGAACAATACAGCCTAAAGTTCGTATCTTTTTGCCAATCAATACATAGATATTAAGATGCTTTTATTCTGTTTTCCCTGTTTTTGTCTTCTGTGTTATTCTAATATGTGACCTCCACTCAATTAGTCATCATTATTTTTTATGGTAGATTTTTTTTATTGTAGTAAAAAACATAAAATTTTCCATTTCACCCTTTGTAAATATAAGTTCAGTTGTGTTAAGTATATGCACATTGTTGTGGAACAGAGCCCCAGAACTTTTTCATTTTCAAAGCTGAAACTCTGTACCCATTAAATGACTACCTGTTCCCCAGTCCCGGCACCCACCATTCTCCTTGCACCCACCATTCTCCTTTTGGTTTCTATGAATGGGACTACTCTGGATACCTAATAGAAGTGGAATTAGACAACATTTGTCATTTTTACATCTGGTTCATTTCACTCAGCATAATGTCCTCAGGGTTCATCCATTTGGTAGCATGTGGCAGAAATTTCTTTTTTTTTTTTTAAGGCTGAAAAATATTCCATTGTATGTATATACCACATGTTATTTATCCATGCAGCTGTCCATGGACACTTGCATTGCTTCCATCTTTTGGCTATTGTGAATAGTGCTGCTGGGAATGTGCTGTGCAAATATATCTTCAAGACTCTGTTTTTAATTATTTTGGGTATATACCCAGAAGTGGGGTTGCTGGATCATATGGTAATTCTATTTTAAATTTTTTTGAGGAATCTCCATACTGTTTTTCGCTATGAGTATACCATTTTACATTTTCGCCAGCACTAGGGTTCCAGTGTTTCCACATCCTCATAAACACTTGTTCTTTTCTGTTTTTTTAAACAGTGGCCATCCTGAGAGAAGTGAGGTATTTGGTTGGTGCAAAAGTAATTGCGGTTTTTGCCATTGAAAGTAATGACAAAACCCGCAATTACCTTTGCACCAACCTAAATGGTCTCATTGTGGTTTTGATTTGCATTTTCCCTGATGATTGGTGATGTTGAGCATTAGTCATTATTATTAACAGTCAATGCTTACTATATTTTATCAACATACTTATTAGTTTCTTTGCCAGATTCACCACTTGTTAGAATTTTTTCAAACCATTTGAGAAAAAGTTGAAGACATTATTTCCTTTTGCCCCTACCCCCAAATACATTAGTTTGTGTTTCCTCAGAACAAGAATATTCTTTTAGATAACCACAATGGAATGGTCAAAATCAGGAATTAGCACTGCTACAAAACTATTATCTGATTACCTACCTTATTTCAATTTCACCATGGTTCCAATAATGTCCTTTATAGCCTTCTTCCCTCCCATGCCGGGATATAATCCATGGTCATGCATCACATTATTTGTCTTGTCTCTTTAGTCTCCTTTAATCTGGAATAGTTCCTCGGCCTTTCTTTGCATTTAATGACCTTGACTTATTTGAAAAATGAAAGGAATAAATGTGCATAAAAACTGATGGGCTATACAGAGACTACATATTCAGAAAAAGACAGGGAGAAAAGTGCTGGCAGTCTCTTGTGGAAAGTTTTACACGATGGAACTACAGGAGTTCCAGGAGTTCAGCCCTCAAGATCTAGAGAAAGTGATGCAGGCTCAGTGGCTTCTATTTTACCTAGATGTCACAGGTAACATAGAAGAAACTGGAAAGAAGTCTAAGAAGGAAACATGAGAGGAGGAAGAAAGATAAAACAGGAAATCCAGAGGTGGTGTTTTTGAGTTCTAGAAGGCAAAAGAAATCCTTACTGTAGAGATGCAAGGATCTGATCCTTTGTCTAGCACAACAGAGAGAAGTGCTAGAGGATAAGGACAAGGAGGAGAAATATGTGGATCATCCTTTAGTGAAAATCCTGAAATAGAGCTTCCATGCAAAGGGCTGGATCATCAAGATCTGGATAAAGAAGCAGCGTTGACACAGTGATGAGGCGCCAGTCCTTTGCCTGAGGCTGCAGAGTTTCTCAGTGCATGCCACACACGTGCTTACAAGATGTTCCAGGCTGCATGGGACTTTCCTTGCCCCAGCCCCCAATTTAGCCATTTCTGCAAGGAGTCCTGCTTCCTTTTAATGAGGAAAGGTATTTAGAAACTAAGATCTGGGCCCCAGGTGTGCTCATGGCTACTGGGGTGTCACTGCTTCTAGGCCCTTCTAGAAGAACTGAGCAATATGGATCTTTATTTCTGTCTCTCTCTAGGGCATAGATATACATATATCATGTATAATGCATGTACACATATTAAAAGTACAAATTCAGTATTTCCAATTCTAATCCATCACCACTGGATGATGTCCTCCTGTGCTTACTGCTACAAACTTTAGATCTGTAGTCCATCTGGAATTAGTTTTGGTAAATGATGTCAGGTATGAATCAAGGAACTTTTTTTGTTTTCCATGGGATATCCAGTTGTCCCAGCACCTGTGATTGAATAAGTACTTTACTTATTCACAGTAAGGTAGGGTGTCAGGACCATTGCCCATGTTTTTAAATAGGGAAACTGAGGCTCAGAGAGGTACTTCTTTTTTTTTTTTTTTGCTGACATCACAGAGAGCTGACAAATGGCAGAAGCAAGATTTGAACCAATGTATTTATTTATTTTTGTCACCCAGGCTGGAGTACAGTGGCACAATGTCAGCTTACTGCAGCCTCAACTGCCCAGGCTCACGTGATCCTCCCACCTCAGCCTCCCAAGGAGCTGGGACCACAGATGTGCACCACCATACTTGGTTAATTTTTTTGCATTTTTTGTAGAGACGGAGTTTGCCGTGTTGTCTGTGCAGGAGTTGGAACTCCTGGGCCCAAGTGATCCACCTCCCTTGGCCTCCCAAATGTTGGGATTACATGAACCAGTGCACCTGGCCAGAACCCAGATTTATTTGATTCCAAAGTCAGGGCTTTTCCCCCTTGCCACGGACATTCAGTTTTCCTGTCTACATAATAAGTGGTATGAAATCTGCAGTCATCAGATCCTCCCACACTGACATTGTGGGTCTCTGGGCTTAAGCCAGGCAGACATATGTACCCAGGAAAACATGGGGTGTGCAAACACAGCAGAGCACAGAGCCACAGCACAGAGGGCAGGCACTTCATGTGGCAGGAGAGTGCTTGTTTTGTAACCAGGGGTCTGTGGGTCATGGTGCATGGACCCTTGCTCTGGCAGGGGCGGGCATGCACTCCTTCTCCCCCCATACTCAATCAGTGAATAAAGTAAGAACCATCACAGAACTAGGGGTTTCCATCTGCTCTATGGCCATCTCCAGGTACCCATCTTCTCCCACATTTAAAACTCAGTTGGCTGGCTATTAGACCAGTGAGTGCCAAGGCTTGAGCCTGAGCCTGGCATTTGCCATGGTAACAAAGAACAGAGGCCCAGCATTTCAATCCCTCTGGTAGCCTTTAGGTTGGCATGACAACTACGGAACAGCTCATTAGCCTGGGCTCTAGCAGAAGGGAGATTTGGAGTGGCAGGGGATCCTGCAGGGCTGGCCTGGTGAGATGCTCGTGCCTCCCAGTGGCGCTGGCTCTCAGCTGCATAGCAGGGCACTGTGAGAGAGCTGAGCACCTGGGAGAGGGGTATCTGCAGCAGGCTGTGGAGGCTACGAGCAGGGAATGTGTGACTGTGCATGTTCAGGAGGGAGAAGGCTGCTGGGGAGGAGCCGGAGTGAGGAGTGGCCACAGGGCCAAAGGAGGGTATCTTCCTAGATGGGGCTGGGCAGGGACAAATGGCAGGATGTGAACCAGGAGGCAGGGTTCTGGCCTGTGCCCCAGCCTGGGCTCTTGCCATTCGTTGAGTTTCTGTTTAAGGCCAGGCTCTTATTTTTGTTTTAAATTGTGGAATTACACGTACACATGGTCAAGAAAACCTCACAATACAAGCGAGTGCACGATGAGAAAAGGTCTCCTCACACCCCTCCCTCTGTTCCAGCCCAGCTCCAGGGGCTGCGGTTCCCATCTCTGTGTTTGCTCTTCTGGCCTCCACCGCCTACACAAGAGCACACAGATGGCTTCCCCACTCAACAGCTTGGGGCTGCATCTCTGCGATGACAGGCGAGAGGAGAGCCGCGTTCTGCCACTTCTGGCCCTCCCCGATTTTTGGTAGTTACATGGTGCACACCTCTTTTGGCCATCACCACTCCCACCCGCCCATGTGTTCATCCCCAGCACCATGCACTTGAGCACTAGGCACAGGGAGCAGTTCTCCCATAGGCCTTACCACTCTGTGTACCCAGTTTCTGGGCTTGTCACTGTACATGGCTGCGTGTGTGTGTGTGTGTGTGTGTGTGTGTGTGTGTGTGTGTGTCCCCAGCCCCCGCCCCGCTCAACTGCATGTGTCTCTGGGACAGGCCCCTTGACTTTCTCATGGCTAGAGGCCAGGGCAGGAAGGAGCACCTGGTGTAAGTGAACAAATGGGTGTACATCTTGGGGTTCCCACATTCCCTGGCTTGCAGCTCTCAGAGGGTCTCCAGAGTTGACCAGAGCTGCCTCTCTTGGAACAGCCAGAGGGTTGAGGGTGAGTACGGGGCTGGGCCTAGAGGCAGAGGGCTCAGTAGAGCCCCTTTCCTTCACTGAACACGGGGGGCTCTTTCTGCCCTTGTAGGAGGTGTTCCGGCAGCACCGGGGGCCACAGCTCCTGGCCCTGGTGGAAGAGGTGCTGCCCCGCCATGGCAGTGGCCACCATGGGGCCTGGCACATCTCTCTGAGCAAGCCCAGCGAGAAGGAGCAGCACCTTCTCATGACACTGGTGGGCGAGCAGGGTGAGCGAGGGCAGGTGATGGGAGGGCCCAGGAGGGCAGTGGGAGGCGGGCGGCCCCTGAGGGTCACGGGAAAAAAGTGCACGCATAAGGGCTTTGAAACTTGGAACTCCAGGACAGTAGTTTGAGCTACTTAGCTTAGTGGTCAAGGTGTACCCACCAGCTTGGGTTCTGGGGACAAGGAGGAGGGTGTGAGAATTAAGGATGGGGAACAGGAGGCAGGGGAACAGGTGTGGTCCAGCACAGGTGGGAGATGAATGGACACTGTACCTGGTGTGGCAGGGGAGAAGGGGTGTGTTCAGAAGGCAGTGTGTGGGCTTCGCAAGTGGCTGGCTGGTGTTATACAAATCGATGTTCTAACAGATCGATGCAGTGGAAAGCATGTCTAAGAGAGGGGGAGGCATGTGCCTTGAGGATCTGTGTGCAATTTGAGCCAGGAAGGGAGACAGAGGCTCAGGCCAGCTGTTGGAGAGCGGGGCCAGAGCCCTTGGAGGGGCACGCACCTCAGCCATGGTCACACTGATAGTGGTGTTTCTTACCCCCCAGGGGTGGTGCCCACTCAAGATGTCCTTTCCATGCTGGGTGACATCCGCAGGAGCCTGGAGGAGGTAAGAGTGCAGGGACCTGGACCTGTTAGCTTCTAATATGCTCCCTCCTGTCTCTGTTCCTCAAAGTCCCAGGAGTCTGCCCACATCGTGAGGTTCAAAGGAGTATAAGACAGAGCGTGCTCTGGGCAGGTTCCTTGCTTCAGGCCTCCCTTAGACATGGTTTTGTGGGAAAGACGGTGCATGTGCATGCTACCAACCAAAGGTCCAATGCAGGCAATGGCCAGGGGCAGAAAGGGGCCATGGGGGTGTGGGGGCTGTGCTAAGAGGCTGACAGTCAGGAGAGGGCCCAGAGAGGAAGGGTCTGGGGAGCAGTGAGGGTTAACTGGGAGTTTTCTGGGTAGACAGTGGCAGAGACACCATGCTGCCTGGTGGGAGGGGCGAGCATGATGGGTTCCAGAAACCAAAAGAGCAAGCCTGGGAGACCTGGACATGTGACTTGGCGTGGACGTGTGAATCTACTGGTGCTTGCACGGCCAGGCCCTGCGCTCCTGCTGCGGTGAGATGCGGCGCCTGGGGGCCAGGAGGCAGCCCTGCCATCTTAGGAGGTGCCCCCACCCAGTGCAGTCTGCTGGCTGCCTGGCCCATCCCGATCAACCTCTCCTACCCAGCTGCCGCACAAGCTTGGATGGGATGGCAGGGTCCCCCAGTCCTGCTCCTCACACCACCTTGCCTATGGGGTCCTTCTGTTCCTCATCTCACTTCTTGAGGACAGCCACCATCTCCACCAAAACTGCCTTTGCTCACTGTAGAGTCCAGTGCCCTGTCATCAGCCCTCTCCACTCCCGAAGGTGCTGCCATTTTTGGCAGGAGAGATGAGTGGTATAATGCTGGCCGCCTCTTCATCCTTGCATGCCAGGGGAGCAGAGGCCCTGGTGGTGGTGCTTTTCTGGTGAGCATGTCGAATGCCCACTGAGCACCACACTGTGCAAGGCTCTCTCCCTCAGTCCTCGCCACCACCCCATGGGGTTGTGAGGGTTAAGTGAGGCACCTGTTGAGTACCAATGGTGTCCCCATGGAAGATGAGAGCTGAAGCGGGAGAGGTTAGGTGACCTGTCTGAGATGGCACCAGCAGTAAGCGGTAGAGCCAGGCTTTGCAGGAAGCCTGATTCCGGAGCCCGGGCCTTTCACCACACTGCTCTACTGCCTGGAGGGCCACTGAGGCCCTTCCCAGTTCTGGAATCGTGGGTCCATGAACAGTGGGGCTGCTGGTGGAAGTGTGGGCTAACCTTGACCTTTTATACAGTCCTCCCCCTGCTTTTCGCTGCCCCTGAGTATTCTGGCGTTACTGGTCACTTAATTCACACTGACTTGGCCAAAAGTCATGCTGGGTCTTTGGAAATATACTCAGGTGAATCTAGCAAGAAAAACTGACCCTTGATAACAAAAAATTGAGAAAAGTACTGGAGATACACGGGTGGTTCACAGAAACCGGGGAAGAGCTGCAACCTGAACTCAGAAAGGGGGCCTGGTGCAACCTAGGCCTCAGCACTGGGAACTGCCCTGATCCCTCACCTGAGGAGCCCCTGGTGGTGCTCGCCCTCCTGCTTCTCTCTGCTAAGATGCTGATCTGTGGAGATAGCACCTGCCTGGCCCCTGGCGCCGATCTCCTTGGCCAGAGAAGGCAGGACTGACCATGACAACCTGCAGCGTGGAGGGATGCAGGCAGCTACATGCCAGCAGTGAACACGCCATGGGAAGGGAGGAAGCTGGGCAGCCGGGGTGGCCCCCCATGTGGCCTGCATGCCCTCAGTATCCCTCCCTGCACCGGCCCTGGCATCAGGAAGCTGACTGGTCCACCCCTCCCCACCGAGGTGGAAGCGGTTGTATGGTGGAGGATGTGTGGGGGGCTCACATCTCCTGTCTCTCTAACTAGTTAGGATAGGTGTGGGCACTCTCTCTAGTTGGATGGTGTCCAGCAGCATGGGTCCACTCTCACTGGAGGCCTAGGGCCACAGTGAGCTCAGACTCAGCGGCTGGGGCAGAAGCTATGGTGGGATGTGAAGGAGGCTGGGAACATGGGCATGGGGTGGAGAGGCCTCCAGGTGTACTGAGGCAAACGGGATGGGCATGGGGTAGAGGCAAGCCCAGGCGCCAGGGAACTTCAGGAGCCGGGAGTGCCAGCACCTTCTAAGCCTGCTCCCCCATCCCCACCCGAGCCCAATGCAACCACCCCAGAGGAGCCATGGCACCCCAGGACCTCAGCTGAGGAAACTGGCCCCTCCCACCCCTAGATTGGCATCCAGAACTATTCCACAACCAGCAGCTGCCAGGCGCGGGCCAGCCAGGTGCGCAGCGACTACGGCACGCTCTTCGTGGTGCTGGTGGTCATTGGGGCCATCTGCATCATCATCATTGCGCTTGGCCTGCTCTACAACTGCTGGCAGCGCCGGCTGCCCAAGCTCAAGCACGTGGTGAGTGTGGGGACAGGTGGGGCTGGGGGCCAGTTGAGAGGAGAGTGCCCATCGATAGGTGTCCTCATCTGCAAGGGGAGGCAGTGACTCTCCTGGGCGCACAGGGTCCCGTGGGTGAAGCAGCTGGTCAGCCTAGCACTGCTGACTGCTCTGCAGGGCACCAGCCCCAGGACAGGTGCCAGAGGTGCAGGGAGTGAGGGGGCTGCTAGCCCCACCAGGGGGCCCCTCCCTGGCACCACCAGCCCCTTTCCGGCGCAGGCACTGCAGGGCCTGAGCACCTGAATACCTCACCAGAGGCAGGCCCTGCGTTGGTGGTGCCCAAGGATCAAGGAGAGGCTCCAGCAGCCTAGAGGCCTCCCCAGGAGGAAGCGAGCAGAGCCCTAGCGATGCTCCCTGCCCACCTCGCAAGTGGAGTCTTCTTAGGGGGCTGTTGGGGGATCGATGACGTCAGGGAGGCCACGGGGCTTTGTAGTGCCAACGACTAGTAGGTTTATTTTGAGAAAGGAGTTGAGCTGCAGCAACAGAAAAGAAGGATCTGGCACCTGTGGAGGGTGCCGCGGGAACCCCCTGGGTGGGGTTGCACAGACGGCCGCGGGCCTGGCGCTGTCCGGGGGCTGGCTCGCTCGCCCATGGCCTCTCCCCACCCCGCCTCAGTCGCACGGCGAGGAGCTGCGCTTCGTGGAGAACGGCTGCCACGACAACCCCACGCTGGACGTGGCCAGCGACAGCCAGTCGGAGATGCAGGAGAAGCACCCCAGCCTGAACGGCGGCGGGGCCCTCAACGGCCCGGGGAGCTGGGGGGCGCTCATGGGGGGCAAGCGGGACCCCGAGGACTCGGACGTGTTCGAGGAGGACACGCACCTGTGAGCGCAGCCGAGGCGCAGGCCGAGTGGGCCGCCAGGACCAAGCGAGGTGGACCCCGAAACGGACGGCCCGGAGCCCGCACCAGCCCCGCGCCTACCCGGGCCGCCCCCGCGGCCTGGCCCTCGGCGCGGGCTCCTTCCCGCTTCCCCCGACTTCACACGGCGGCTTCGGACCAACTCCCTCACTCCCGCCCGAGGGGCAGGCCTCAAAGCCCGCCTTGGCCCCGCTTTCCCGCCCCTGAACCCCGGCCCCGCGGGCGGCGGGCGGCGCTTCCTGCGCCCCGGGACTCAATTAAACCCGCCCGGAGACCACGCCGGGCCCAGCGCGTCTGCCTTCTTGACTCATTCTTATTTCCGGGGTTGGGGCGGGGCGGGGCGGGCGGGGCACCCCGGGGCAGGGGCGGGGCCGCGGGGCGGGGAGGCCGGGGCGGGCGGGTCCTCCGGACGCCGCTGCAGAGCGGGGCGGGGCGGGGCTGAGCGTGTTTACATCCGCCGGGTGCGCGGCTTCGCCGCCCGAGGTCGTTCGGCTCGGGTACCATCCTCCGCGCCATGGACACCAGCGACCTGTTCGCCAGCTGCAGGAAGGGGGATGTGGGCCGAGTGCGGTGAGGACCTCGCAGTCCCGGGGAGGGTGCGGGAGGTGGCCGCCCTCGGAACGCCTCGGGCCCTGGGACGGGCGGCTGGGCGGCCGCGGAGAGGCGGGCGCCTCTGCCGGGTCACAGCCCTCGGAGCGCCCCCGCGGGGCAGACCACCCGGACCCCCGCCGCAGCCCCCCAGCGGAAGCGCGCTGGGGCGGGGACACTGATGGCCATTGACCCCCGGAGGGCTTCCTGTAAGAAGGGACTGCTCAGCGGAGGCCCGAAGGCGCAGAAGTGGGCGGAGAGAAGGCGGGCCACTGTTCGCCCTGGTAGGGCCCGGACGTCAGACCCCCCGGGCGCAGGGCGCGGGTATAGGCCTGGGACTCCAGACGTGGCCCCTTTCTCTCGTGCTCTCTGGACCTGGCGCGGGGAACACCTAGAGCCCATAATCGGCCTCCGGTCCCTGAGGATTCGGAAACTCCTGACGCAGCTAAAGTGAATCTGGCGCTGAGATGCCCCCTCCATGGGCCGGACGCGGAGGGAAGGGGTGCCCAGTTGGGTTCTGGGGCCCTTCCCCTCCTTGGGCTTCCACTATCCCGTTTGACCTCCTTTTTTCTTGGCCCTTCCTCCCCCTTGACCTGGTGCTGACTGACTGCTTCCACCTCCCCTGGGCTGGCGCCGGGCTGCTGTACTCCCGTAGCCTCCCTGGGCCGCTCCCTGACATCCCGTGCCACTCAAGAGTTAGTGCATAGTGTCAACGCTGAGTGGGTTCACAGCACTTCCAGGTGCAGCCTGGAGGCCTCCTTTGGGCTGCCCCCGCCTCAGTGGGGCTGCATTAGCATTGGCGACTCCCCTCGCTCACCTTCCGCATCCCATCAGTTGCTGTATCCCGCGACTCCTGCCTCCTAGAATTGTGTGCCCTCCACACCATCAGGAGGCCTGCAGCAGCTTTTTCCCGGGCTCCCTGCTTCTAACAGGGCCAGCTTCTTCCTGCAGTAGAGAGCTCTGGTGGGAGTGAAGGCTCCATCACCTCCTCTCCCAAACGCTGAAAGGCCAAAGGTCCAGCCTCGGCACTGGCTCTGGCTTCTGTCCCTGTAGCCCATCGTCCCCCAGCACTGATAGCACACAGTGTCTGCCTGTTCGACCCCACCTCCACATCCTTGCCTGCACTTTGCCTTGAGTGCCTCTCCTGCTCTGGTCTGCCTGTCACCTGCCCTCACCTGGGGGAGGCTTCCCCATACCAAAAGGGATGTTTTCTCTCCGTTCCTTTCCACGGGCCTTCTTTCTCAGACCATGAACCCGTCCTGACCCAGGCTCTGACCTCCTTCCTGCCCAGGTACCTGCTGGAGCAGCGAGACGTGGAGGTGAATGTGCGGGACAAGTGGGACAGCACCCCCTTGTGAGTGCTGGAGAGAGGGGTGGGGAGGGTGGGGGTTGGTGCACCCCTTCAGCACTGAGGACTGCCTCCTGTACTTCCTTCCTCCCTTCAGGTACTATGCCTGCTTGTGTGGGCACGAGGAGCTGGTACTCTACCTTCTGGCCAATGGTGAGAGCAGGGAGCCCGGCTCACGGGTGTGCGTGGGTGCATGCATGTGTGCGTGTGGGTGCATGCATGCGTGCGTGCATTCAAAGGCCTTGATACACATTTGCAAAGCACCACGATTCCTCTCTTACCACCCAGTCGAATCAGCAAGTACTATTATTGCTACTTTAAAACCTTTTCTCTGTCCACCTTGCCCATCTCTACTTCTACGACCTGGGCCCAGTCATCAGCATTTCTCCCCGGACACGGTGCCTGCCTCTCTCTTGCCATTGCAGCCAAGTTGATCTTTTCACAATGAATCTGATCGGCTAAAAATCCTCCAGCAAGTTCCCATTGCCTCTAGGATACAGTGAGCCTGCCTGGCCATGCCCAAGGCTCCACAGGGTCTGCCCTCCCACTGGCCTCATTCCTTCGGCTCTCCCTGCTTGCTTGCTGCTTGCTTGCTGCTACACTGGCCTCGCTGGGGCTCCACTGTGCTATGCATGCCCCTGTTCCTGCCCCAGGGCCTTTGCACCTGCAGTTCCTCCTGCATGGACTGCCGTTCTGCAAACGTTCACATGGCCCACTCCCCCTTCATTCAGGTCTCTGCATGCTGCCACCATTACAGAGTGACCTTTCATGACTTCCCTTCATTCAGTGCCATTCTTCTTCCTATTTTGGTTTTTTCTTTTTTTTTTTTTTTTTTTTGGAGACAGAGTCTTGCTCTGTCACCCAGGCTGGAGTGTAGTAGTGTGATCTCGGTTCACTGCAGCCTTAACCTCCCAGGCTCAAGTGATCCTCCTGCCTCAGCCCCTTCAAATCTTCAAATAGCTGAGACTACAGGCGTGCACCACCACGCCCGGCAAGTTTTTGTATTTTTTTTGCAGAGATGGTGTCTCACTATGTTGCCCAGGTTGGTCTCAAACTCCTGAGCCCAAGTGATCCACCTACCTTGGTCTCGCAAAGTGCCTGGATTATAGGTGTGAGCTGCCACGCCCAGGCTTGTTTTTCTTAATAGTCCCTGCCATCGTTAGGTAGTGGGTTGATTGTCCTGCCTCACTAGAGTATAAGTTCAGCAGGACAGGGACCTGTGTCTCGTTCACTGCTGTGCTCCAGTGTGTGGGACAAGCCCAGCCACCAAGTCAGCTCTCCGTTCTGTGTTGTCTGTCTTCCGTGTGAGTGAGTATGTGCCTGTGTGAGTGCACACAGACGTGCCCATTCGCCTAGCCCTTGACTGGGAGGGTGTTGGGGTCAGAGTGGGCCCAGGGTAATTTGGGAAGGCATCGCCAGAGATTCGGAGCCCCATGTGTGGGAAGGTGGGGAGGAGGGACAGGGAGATTAGAATTTCCCCCAGGCCCCTTCCCTGCTAACTGGTGAGCCCTGCCTCCCCCAGGAGCCCGCTGCGAGGCCAACACCTTCGATGGTGAGCGCTGCCTCTATGGGGCACTGAGTGACCCCATCCGCCGGGCTCTACGCGATTACAAGCAGGTCACGGCTTCCTGCAGGAGGCGGGATTACTATGACGACTTCTTGCAGCGGTGAGCCAGGGCACACGAGGGGTGCAGCATGGGGTGCGGTGGCCCTGGTGGGTGTGGCGAGTCTGCTCTGACTGTGGCCTGCACTGGGTTCTGAGTGCTCCGAGGAATGGGGTGGGGCTGTGCCAAGTATCCTCCCTCCTGGCTTGTCCCTCCCCAGGCTTCTAGAGCAGGGCATCCACAGTGACGTGGTCTTTGTAGTACACGGGAAGCCATTCCGGGTGCATCGCTGCGTCCTGGGTGCACGTAGTGCCTACTTTGCCAACATGCTGGACACCAAATGGAAGGGCAAGAGTGTCGTGGTTCTCAGGCACCCACTGGTATGTCCCTTCAGGGTGGCAGAGGGGCATGAACTGTCCAGGAACAGCAGGAGGTTGTGCTGGGTGGCTGCCTCTGACATTACTTTCTGGTTTTCTGCCCACAGATCAACCCCGTGGCCTTTGGGGCCCTGCTGCAGTACCTGTACACAGGTGACCCCCTGGGTCCAGGGTAGGAGGAGAGGGAGTGGGCCGTCCTTCTGGACAGCAGTACACCTAGGTGTGGCTGGGCTGACCTTTCACCTCTAGACACTTCATGGTCCCCCCGGGGTGGTTCCAGCTGCCTCTCGGGTTGGGTTGCAAGAGAGAGGACTAGTGTGCCTGCTCAGGAAGAGCTTGTCCCACCCACATGCTGAGGCCCTCCCATCTGTTCCCTGGGGCCTGTAGAACAGCTTTTGATGGGGAAACCATGGTGGCAAGTGGGCCCAGGAGTCCTAGTCCTGCAGCCAGGTGGCCAGGTGGGAGGGGATCACCCTTTTTCTGTGGGCCTGATGACAGCTGAGGTCCCGCAGGCCCTCATCCTCCCCACTGCCCCCAGGCCGCCTGGACATTGGCGTAGAGCATGTGAGTGACTGTGAGCGCCTGGCCAAGCAATGCCAGCTGTGGGACCTGCTCAGCGACCTGGAGGCCAAGTGCGAGAAGGTGTCTGAGTTTGGTGCGAGCAGGGTTTGGGGCCCGGGGCCATGGGTGCGGCCTGGCAGGGCTGGCCTGGCTCCCTGAAGTTGTTCTTCCCCTGTAGTGGCGTCTAAGCCAGGCACGTGTGTGAAGGTGCTGACCATCGAGCCCCCACCTGCAGACCCCCGCCTCCGGGAGGACATGGCGCTGCTGGCCGATTGTGCCCTGCCCCCCGAGCTCCGAGTAAGTGCGGGGCTGGTGGGCAGGAAGGGCGTTTTGGGATGGCAGGCCGTGACAGGCAGCCCAGATACTTGGGCTCAATTCCTTGTGTGGTCCTGGACCAGTTACTTCCCTTTTCTGAACCTAGTCGTTCACTTCTGTGAACAACTGCTCTGATGGGGTCACCTCTTCTGTACCCCAGGGTGATCTTTGGGAGCTGCCCTTCCCTTGTCCTGACGGCTTCAACAGCTGCCCTGACATCTGCTTCCGAGTGGCTGGCTGCAGCTTCCTCTGCCACAAGGTGCCTGTGCCCTCCTGTTGCCCCTGGCCCCAGCCCGTTGCCCTGAGCCCCCGTCTAGCTCCTCAGGAGACAGACCCTGGCCCTCACACTTCCTGAGCCCGGCCTCCCCCAGGCCTTTTTCTGTGGCCGCAGTGACTACTTCCGAGCCCTGCTGGATGACCACTTCCGAGAGAGCGAGGAGCCAGCGACCTCAGGGGGCCCCCCAGCCGTCACCCTGCATGGCATCTCACCCGACGTCTTCACTCACGTGCTCTACTACATGTACAGCGACCACACTGAGGTGGGGGCTCAGGCAGAGCTGGGGATGGCACACAACCTGTGCTGCCGTGGGCTGAGAGGGAGCGCCAGGGCCCTGGGGGTCTGTGGAAGGGCCCAGCTGGCCCCATGGTTGACGTTTTGAGAAGGCTGGAGGGGAAGGCTGTGGGACTTTGGATTTTTCTTTCAGGTAGAGGAAGCCTTGTTGGGCTCCAGAGAGAGGATGAGTGATGAGCCTGTGTCACAGACACTCCACACTTGTCAGCCACTTGGGATCCTCAGCTTCTCTAGCAGGAGGGTGGAGGGTGGGTGGGGACAGCCTCCTCTCTGTGGTGCTGCAGATCCCTGGGGTTCTGGGTTCCCAGTCTCCTCTTCCCTTGCTGCCTGCCTCTGTCTCCAGCTGCCCCAAGGTGTCCGTAAGCCAAGGCTGCAGGGCAGCAGCAGAGTGCTGAAGGTTTGCTCTGCCAGGGTGTGTGAGAGAGAGAGAGAGTGTGTGTGTGCGTGCGCGTGCGCGCGCACTATAAAGCAATCCCCATATCTGGTGGCTTAAAGAAGAGGGGAGTTTGTTTCTCCTTCACTTCTGACTGAGGTGGGTGCCCCAGGGCAAGTGGCTTGCGGAAGATCAGGTCATCCCTCCATCTTGCCCCTGTATGCCTAAGGGTGAAGGTCAAAAACCTTTTCTCTGAAGGTGAGTGTTTCAGGTTCTGTGGGCCATATGGCCCTGTTGTAGCTACTCAACTCTGTAGCGCAAAGGTAGCCAGAGACAGTACAGAGATGAGTGGGTGAGGCTGCATTCCAATAAAACTTTACTTGCACAAACAGGCTGGATTTGGTCCACAGGCCGTAGCTTACCCATCCTGCCTGGGGCATCGCGTTTGGCCATGGAGATTGGGTCCTAGGCAAACTCATGCTCTAGGAGGAAGAGGAAGGCAGGGCAAGCAATGCTGTTTTTGTAGAAGCCACCGGAAATTGCACCACTTCTCATGTTCCCCTGGAGAGAACTTCGTGCCTACCTGCCAACAAGGGAGGCTTGGAAAGTCATTCTGTGGCCAGGGCCCTGTTTTGTGGGGGAAGGGGAGGAAGCATGCTGGGAGACAGAGGGCAGTCCCTACTGCTGCTCTATCTCCAGTGGCAGCTCCCTTGTCCATCCCTCCGCGCGGCCTGACAGCCCCTCAGCCTCCATCTTTCCCACCCCCTCTACTGGGCATCTCCTGCAGCTCAGCCCAGCTCTCTGGCCCCTGTAGCAGGGGTTACCTTTGCCCACCCTGGAGAAGCTCCCTCTTCAAGGAGCCTCGCCACCCAAAGGGCACCTTGTCTCAGAGTGTGGCTTGGGCTCTTAACCTGGGTTGATACTGGTTGAGCTGTGTGACACTGGGTGAGCTTTGTGATCTTGGGCCAGTTACTTAACTGCTCTGTGCCTCTAGAACATGGGGATAGCTCTCGTCGTCACTTCCTAAGGCCTTGTGCAGATGCATGGGTTACCCAGGTAAAGGAGGTGGCATGGCACATGGCACATGGCTTGTAATGTGGTCGCAGAGCTCCCCTTGTCTCTGTCTGCAGCTTGCTCCCTGTGCCACCCAGGCTCTGGCCTGAATCTGAGGGCTTCAGTCTTATCCAGCACAGGATGTATCTGTAGGTGGGCTCTGTGTCCCCACAGCCTCTTGAGAGGGAGGGAGCTGGTAGATAGTCTCCCACCCCTGGCAGAGTCCCTGCATAGGTCTTGACTAGCTGCCTCTGTCCCACCATTCTGACAGCCCCCGCAGGTAGGCATGGTTATCTATACCTCATGGACTGGGAACTAGAGGCACAGGGAGGTGCAGTGACTTGCCCAGGGCCCCACAGCTAGAAGTGTCAGACCCAGGTCTGTATAACTCGGAGCTCAGACCCTGGCTCCTGCGAGGGCCCTGCCTCCCGCCTGCCCTGCCAGCCTGCTCAGGGCATGGGAGAACCCCCCAGTCTTCTGCCCCCTAGCGGTCCTGCAGATCCCTGTGGGAATCTGGGCCAGCCCCCCGACCCCCAACCCCATACATGCGCAGGGAGCTCCTACTCCCACTGGAAGCCTTCCCGCCAGTGCCCCCCAACCACCACAGGCCCTAGCCTTGGCTGTTGTGCCCTGGGAGCCCTTGGTGACCTCGGGGGGCACCTTCATCCCTGTCTTCACTGCAGCTGTCCCCCGAGGCAGCCTATGATGTGCTGAGCGTCGCCGACATGTACCTGCTGCCAGGCCTGAAGAGGCTGTGCGGCCGCAGCCTGGCTCAGATGCTAGACGAGGACACTGTGGTGGGTGTGTGGCGCGTGGCCAAGCTCTTCCGCCTGGCGCGGCTTGAGGACCAGTGCACTGAGTACATGGCCAAGGTCATTGAGAAGGTGGGCCAGTGGTCTGCAGTGGGTGGGAAGGAGGGGTGAGAGGGCAGGCACCCCTCCACTGAGCTGGCCCTTCCCGCTCATAGCTGGTGGAGCGGGAGGACTTCGTGGAGGCGGTGAAGGAGGAGGCAGCGGCTGTGGCAGCCCGGCAGGAGACGGACTCTATCCCGCTGGTGGACGACATCCGCTTCCACGTGGCCAGCACGGTGCAGACCTACAGCGCCATAGAGGAGGCGCAGCAGCGTCTGCGGGCACTCGAGGACCTGCTCGTGTCCATCGGTCTGGACTGTTGAGCCCCTGGCTGGGCAGCCCCAGGGGCCAGGAGCTCTCTTGGAGACAAGCATGTGTATGCGTTTGTGTGCAGCTCTTCTTCCTGCTCCCTGCACATTGAGGGCTTCATGGGGGGTGCGAGGGGCTCAGTGGGGCTTCTCTTCCCTCCATGAGCCTGGAGACCCCAGGGGAGGATCCATTTGGGATGAGCCCCCTCCCCCCAATGCACAAGCCAGCCCCCAAGACCCTGGGGGTGGACACCACTCAGGGAAACCTGGGGTGGGGGTGGGCTTTGGTCTTAGCACTTTCCTTCTCCAGATCCCCCCTACCCACCCCAGTCCCAAATCCAGTCCTCTGGCCCTTGCCTAGCCCTGAATTGCTTCTCTAAGCTGGTGTTCCCATGCACAGGGCCATTCAGGAAGGGCTGGGGGAGTGTGTGTGGCAATAAAGCTTGAAGGCACCGTGGGAGCATGAGCCTGTGTCCTGGGGTACAGCTTGGGAAGGGTGGGGCCTTCTGGAGCCAGTGGAGCTGGTGTGACCAAGGAAAGAAGCTCTAGAGTTGGGGGCTCCCAGCAGAGGCTGGCCCAGAGCCCAAGGGCCAGGGTACCTGGCTGAGCAGACCTAGAGATCTGCCACTGACCCCAGTGTGGCCTGGGCCCATCCTGGCTCCCTGCCTCCCTGTCTCCATGGATGCTGGTTGTGGTGGGCCTCATTCTAGGAGAGGGCCAGGACCAAAATGACCATTTTCTGTCAGCCCAGTGCCAGTCTTTTCCCCAGGGAGGACCTTGTGGCCCTTCCTGCAGGGGCTGCTACCTTATTATGGGAAGGTAAGCTGCAGGGGCCAAGGGAGACCTTTCTCCTTGGCCCTCTGAAGGTTCACTGAAAAATTAACTTGCAAAAGGCAGAGTAACAGGAGAAAAGACACGCAAATTTATTTAGCATGTAGACATGGGCGTCTTCAGAATGAAGACCCAAAGATGGGAAGCTGTCCATTGTTAGGCTTAGGCTCAGCAAAGTGTGGCCAGCCGAGTAGAAATGGGATTGGCAAAAAGTGCAGGATCCTATGCTGACTGAACAGGGAAATGCAGCCAGGCCTGTCTAGATTCTTCTTGGTCTCTCTGAGCAGCCTGCCTGCCTACCTTCTGGGTGTGGGGCAGGACCCTCTGGAATGGGGGTCTTATGACCTATAGTCAAACAAGGTGGATCAGATTATTACTTTATGGCCAGTTTTTACACAGATACGGCAGAGGGAAAGTGAGAGTCCTGTTTTTAGGTTTTATGGCTGGCTTTGGGGAAAGGGGGCTCTGGTTTCTAGGGCCCGCCTAGGGGAAGAGGGATTCTAGTTTCTGTGGCTAGCCTCGGGATGATGAGACTGAGAGAAGGGGGCAAAAGTTCAGAGAGAAGCTCCTGCTTCTGAGGTTGTTGCTTGGGTCTTCATTTTGGGGTATTTGAGCCCCAAGGGGGTTTCTCACGATGAGCTGCAGGCCTGTGGACCGCCCCCCCACCAGGCCTCTGCCTTCTAACCTGGTTAAACTCAGTGTCGTGTCATGGCCCTGGGGGAGGAAAGGAAGGCTGGTTCTTTCACAGGGCTTCTAATATCGGGTGTCTCCACCCTCCCTGCAGTTATTTCACAGCTGTTCATGCTTTTTTTTTTTTTTTTTCTTTTCAGACGGATTCTCGCTCTGTCGCCCAGGCTGGAGTGCAGTGGTGCGATCTTGCTTGGCTCACTGCAACCTCCACCTCCCGAGTTCAAGCAATTCTGCTCAGCCTCCTGAGTAGCTGGGATTACAGGTGCACACCACCATGCCCGGCTAATTTTTGTATTTTTAGTGGACACAGGGTTTCGCCCTGTTGGCCAGGCTGAGCTTGAACTCCTAACCTCAGGTGATCCGCCTGCCTTGGCCCCACAAAGTGTTGGGATTACAGGTGTGAGCCACCATGCCCGGCCTCTTCATGCCTTTTTACTATGGTATTTTTGGATTTTTTCCCTTTTTCCTCCCCAGTGCATTTTCAGCCATGTTGCACTGGCATGTTGGTCGTCACATGGGGGAAGTTGTAGGTCTGAAGTGACCACTAGTGAGGGATCAGCTGGGACAAGTCATGGTGCAGCCTGCAGGAGGTGATGAGTGTGTTGGGGAGGTGTCCTGGGTAGGGCCTGTGGGTGGAGATTGTAGTTTGTGCAAGGGCCTGGGATCCTGAAAACAGCCTGAGATGGGATGGGCTGGCGGGGGTCTGCGCATTGCCAGAGCTGAGCTGCGGCCAGAGGACCAACCCCACCGTGGGTCTGCCTTTCACTGCTGGCCACCGCTCTGCCTGTTTGCCCGCCCACAAACTGGGGGTGATTATGGCAACTCCCTCTTACCTAGTGTTTGACCTATCCTGAGCCTGGTGTGTTAAACAAAGGCTGAGTCCACCTGGTGGGTGGGAGGTGGGAGCACGGGAGTGACAGGGGCTCACTCCGGTTGCCCTGGGGCACACAGGAAGGGAAGAGTGAGGCCAGGCTAGTGGCCTAACACCAGCAGGTCTCACCTCAGAGCACACACAAATCCTGGTGTGCCAAGAGAGATTTAAATATTTAAATAAAAAATTTTAATTCCTATGCATTTCTTTTCATATGCATTAGGGGAGAAAATGAGCTACTACATGAAACCTTTTTTTACAGATGTTATTATTTGAAATCATAAAGTTTCCAATCTTGAACAAATTTTAAATAAAACCCTAGTAAGAGGGCAGTTTAAGGAAAAATTATCTGGAGTTGGTATTTTAGTGGTTCACTGATACAGCAGATACATACAGCCAGGTGTACCAGCTATGGCACCTGTTCAGGGAGAGCTGCAGTCTGAGAACTGCCACCCCTCAGGAACTAGGCTGTGTGGTTGTTGGGGCAGCATTCCCCAGCCACACCACACCATTTCTCACTTTATTTTATTTTATTATTTTATTTTATTTTATTTTATTTTTTTGAGACGGAGTCTAGCCCTTTTACCCAGGCTGGAATACAGTGGTGTGATCTCGGCTCACTGCAACCTTTATCTCCCAGGTTCAAATGATTCTCGTGCCTCAGCCTCCAGAGTAGCTGGGGCTACAGGCGCCCACCACCATGCCCAGCTAATTTTCATATTTTTAGTAGAGACATTGTTTCACCATGCTGGCCAGGGTGGTCTCGAACTCCTGACCTCAAGTGATCCGCCCGCCTCAGCCTCCCAAAGTGCTGGGATTACAGGCATGAGCCACTGCACCCGGCCCCATTCCTCACTTTAGCCTCAGGCAGAGAAGACAGCGCGATGGGGAAACACTTATGTAGGAAGGTGTCCAATGCGGTATTGCAAATCAACAGGAAGCATTGCCAGCAGCCGCAGCGAGCAGCAAGTGGGGAAGGAACAGAGAGCATGGATGCGCAGAGCTTCCTGTAACTACGAGGGTGGTCAGTGAAGCTTCTGTGTCCACAAGGAAAAGGTGGAGGACATTCAGGCACTAGGGGGTGCTCCCCAGGCTTATGTGAGAAACCTGTAGCACAGACAGCCACACAGGAGTAGTGAACTACAACCATGGAATTTGAAATTTAGTGTCTAATACTTGGTTCTAAAATTGGGTTGATTTAAATTCAGAAGTGTGCTCTACTCTGACAAATGTTAAAATAGACTAATAGAAGACACATTTTGACACAGAGGCCCTGGGTTTGAGACTCCTCCATCATCCCTAAACCAGAGGAAGAGTTGCTGCGTGAGAGCTGGGGATATTTGATCTGATTTCTGTTTAGTTTCTGTAATGTAGCTGTGCTACCTTTAAAATTAAAAATAAAACAAAACATGTTTATCTCTTTAATTCATTCCCACTCCCAGGTGAAAAAAAAATTTTATTGTTGAATGAAAAATATTTTCATCATGTGTTATTGGAAAAATTATATGTATTCTCTCCCAACTCAAGATACCCACAAATTTTTAACAGACAGAAAAATAGACTGGTGGTTCACGCCTGTAATCCCAGCACTTTGGGAGGCTGAGGCAGGAGGATGGTCTGAGCGCAGGAGTTTGAGACCAGCCTGGGCAGCACACTGAGACTCTGTCTTTCCAAAAAATAAAAAATTAGCCGGGTGTGGTGGCGCGAGCCTGTAGTCCCAGCTACTCTAGAGGCTGAGGTGGGAAGGTAGCTTGAACCCAGGAGGTTGAGGCTGCAGTGAGCTGTGACTGCACCACTGCACTCCAGCCTGGGCAACAGAGTGAGACGCTGTCTCAGAAAAAAAAAAAGAAAAATCAACTGGACAATGACAAAATGAGCAATGATGGAAAGGAAATAAACTCCATTTTGCACAGGAAAGGTAGTATAGGGATGGCTTGTTGACCCACCAGAAGAGGAAGAAGAGTGAAGGTGGGGCTGGGCAACCCTCTACCTAAAGCCCCCAACCGACAGGTGGTCCTCTCCCGCAGCAACTGCTGCTCTGAGGGTCTGCTCCCTGCTGTGGCTGGTCTTGGACGCTGCATCATCTGCTGCTGACCCCTTTAGTGACACCACCCTTGGTTAGGTGCAGCTGTTTCCTGCAGGGCCCCGAATGACCATGCCCTTCACACCTGTGCTCCAGCCATCCTGAGAGTCTCTCAGTTTTGGGGCCGCCCTGAGCTCTCTGCACCTCGAAAACTCCCCCGCAGACCCCTCTGCTGTGCCCCCAACCCCGGCCCGCTCCTGCTCACCTTTGGCTTCTGGAGGGCTGTGCTGGCCCCAGGCTGTGCTGGCGGACACTGGGTGCCCATCGCTGTTAGGCTCTGGGGTGGGAGTCCATGTCGCCCGGGGTCCTTGTTCTGTGAGGGCGGCCCACCTTGTTCTGCCCTGGTCACCGTGCAGCGCTGGGTTCCTCCCAGCGCTGGACACCGTGCCTGGAGCATCACAGGTGCCCAGTAAGGGGCTTGTGATGAGCCTGAGTGTTCATGGAGGAGGCTGGAAAAGCCAACAAATGCAAACATTGTTGGCTCTAGGTTTGATACAGTGAAGTTCCAGGCAGAATTTGGTTGGCCATAAGTAGAGCATGAGGACGTGGAGAGAACGGGCTGTCCTTCAGGTCTGCACACCTTTGGGGGACCTTCTGCACAGAGGCCAGGTGCCACCCACCCAGGGCCTGAGTGGTTTGCAGGGTCCAGTGCAAAACAGCACGTGGGGACCTTGCTCAAAGAGCATTAAGAATTTCCAGAGAGCAACAGTAGAGCACTCACCCAAACGCACGGACCTTCTAGGGTGGGGTCTGGGCCTCTGCATGGGTGGCCAGGCTGCGAGGCCAACCCTGCTTCCACACCCAGTTCCCAGCTCAGTGCCTGGCTCAGATAAAGCCTTCCTGCCTCCTTCCTCCCTCTTTCCATCCCTCTCTCCCTCCCTTGGCCACTCATTCATTCCTTCATCACTCCCTCACTCAACCATTCTCTCGCTCACTCATTTCCTCATTTATTCATCCCCTCACTCATGGACTCATCCATTCTCTGATTCTTTCATCCCCTCACTCATTCCCTCATTCATTCTCTCTCACTCATTCTCTCATTTATTCATCCTCTCACTCATTCACTAACTCATCATTCTCTTATTTCCTCTCATTCATTCCCTCATCACACATTCCCACGCTCACTCATTCCCTCATTCATTCATCCCCTCATTCATTCATCCCCTCATTCATTCTCATTCATTCATTCTCTCAATTCTCACTTATTTATTCATCCCCTCACTCATTCACTCATCCATTCATTCTCTCACTCATTCCCTCATTTATTCATCGCCTCACTCATTCACTCATTCTTTCACTCATTTCCTCACTCATCCATTCTCTCACTCATTCACCCATTCATTCATTCTCTCACTCACTTCCTCACCCATCCATTCCCTCATCACACATTCCCTCACTCATTCCCTCATTTATTCATCCCCTCACTCATTCACCCATTTATTCTCTCATGTCTTCACTTGCTCATTCATTCCCTTACTCATCCATTATCTCATTCATCACTCATTTCCTCACCCACTCATTTCCTCAGTTCATCCCCTCATTCATTTTCATTCATTCACCCATTTCCTCACTCACTCATCCCTCATTCATTCACTTGTCTCTCATTCCCTCACTCATTCATTTTCTCTCATTCCCTCATTCTTGTTCCTTCATTCATTCATCCCCTTGTTCACTCATGCTCTCACTCATTCATTCCCTCATCCATTCTCACTCATTCCCTCATCACTCATTCCTTCATTCATTCTCTCATTTCCTCAGTCATTCCTTCATTTATTAATTCCCTCCCTCATTCATTCATTCATTTTCTCACTCCTTTCCTCATTCATTCCCTAACTTATCCATTCTGATTCCCTCACCACTCATTCCTTCATTCATTCATCCCCTCACTCATTCCCTCATTCACTCACTCATTCTCTCATTTATTCATCCCCCACTCATTCACTCATCCATTCATTCACCCACTCATTCCCTCATTCATTCATCCCTTCACTCATCCATTCATTCACTCATTTCCTCACTCATCCATTCTCTCACTCGTTCATTCATTCATTCTCTCACTCATTTCCTTACTCATCCATTCTCTCACTCACTCGTTCACTCATTCCTTCATTCTCTCACTCATTTCCTCATCCATCCATTCCCTCATCACACATTCCCTCACTCACCCATTCCCTCATTTATTCATCCCCTCACTCATTCACTTATTTATTCTATTTCTTCACTTATTCATTCCCTCACTCATTCATTCTCTCAGTCATTCATCAGTCATTTCCTCACCCACTCATTCCCTCAATTCATCCCCTCATTCGCTTTCATTCATTCACTCATTTCCTCACTCACTCATTCCCTCATTCATTCACTCATCACTCATTCCCTCATTCATCCATTCTCTCACTCATTCCCTCACTCATTCATTTTCTCACTCATTCCCTCACTCTTGTTCCTTCATTCATTCATCCCCTCATTCACTCATGATCTCACTCATTCATACCCACACTCATCCATTCTCACTCACTCCCTCATCACTCATTCCTTCATTCATCCCCACTCATTCTCACTCATTCCTTCATTCATTAATTCCTTCCCTCATTCATTTCCCTCATTCATTCACTCCTTTCGTCATTCATCCATTCTCATTCCCTCACCACTTATTCCTTCATTCATTCATCCCCATTCACTTACTCATTCTTCTCACTCACTCATTTCCTCAGTCATTCATTCACTAATTTCCTCATTCATTCCCTTGCTCATTCATTCACTCCCTCATTCCCTCACTCACTTATTCCCTCATTCATTCACTCACTTATTCATTCATTCCCTTGCTCATTCATTCACTCACTCATTTCCTCACTCATTCAATCCATCATGCATTCATTTTCTCACTCATTCATTCACTCACTTGCACAGTCCCTCACTCACTCATGTCAGTGCACTTTTTACATTTTTCTCCTTCAAAGAGAAACCAGAGAGATAATATGGGGCTATGGTAGGCGCTCTCTGTGGGGACCTGGGCTCAGCACCTGAGCCTTCACCTGCCCTGCATGGGATGGGGGTTTGGCTCCTCCTGAGAGAGAGGATAAAGAGAACACATCATTCCATCACTCACTCATTCATTCACTCACTCACCCACTCCTTCCCTCCCTGCCCTATCAGGCAGGCCTTTCCAGGGACCCTCTGGGAAGCAGGCAGAGGTGTAGTGCAGGGATATGCCCTTTTGCAGCTCACAAGGGAGGGGACAGAGTGCTACCAAGCAGACAAGCAGAAGATCTGTCATGTCAGATGTCAACAAGTGTGCTGGAGGAGGAGAAGGCAGGGCAGCACCTGGGGGAGGGCCTCACTGAGAAGACAGCCCGTGAGGAGGCTGGCATGGTGAGGACTGAGTGGATGTGGAGGATGGGGAGAGGGGAGGCAAGGAGGCCAAAGGCCCAGCACCTATAGGCCTCAGCAAGAACCGTGGCCTTTATTTAGGTGAGATGGTAGTCACCGGAGGATGTTAAGCAGAGAAGGGCCACAGTCTGACTCATACTTTAACAGCCCTCTCGCCTCCGTGTGGAAACAGACTGGGTGCAGGAGAGAAAGCGGGGCCTGCCAAGGAGGCTGCTGCTGCCATCCCTCAGACGCTGGTGACAGCTGTGCAGCTGGAAGGAAGCCATATAATCCTGGCCACACTTAGGAGGAGAGTGGCTGGGCCACGTGTGGGTATAGAATGGAGAGGGGCTGGAGGATGCCCAGCAGCAGGAGGCCGGGTTCCCTATGCTGAGGAGGGAGGGCTGAGTCCGGACAGAGCCCAGCTTGTGTGGGGATGGGTTTGGCATCTATATGGGGCCCTGGAGAAAGCACAAGCCACCTGAAGCTGGCACGGGGAGGGTGGCCTGGGCTCCGTCCTCCCCAGTGGCGGGGCAGGGTCTGCGAGAGGATGTGTGTGTTTAGAAATCTGCTCCAAGCGTGGATGGGAGAAGATAAACTCCACACACGCTGATGGAGGCTGGGAAGCACTGCTGGAGTTGGTATCAGGTGACAGGCATGGCTCAGGCAGGGATCAGCCTGTCTAAAAAAGGGCCTGCTGTGCTCTCAGCAAGGAAGATTGCCATCCAGGGTCAGAGGCTACTGTGATGGACAGACAGACGCCATTCCGAAAACATCGGATTTATTAGGATTAGCTGTAGTGTACACTGATTCCTTTAGCTCTAAATGGATACATATGTGCCCCGCAGACAGTATACACGCAGGGATGTGACTGAGCCACAGTGACATAGCAAACCCAACAGCTGGCTTGTGAAGCCATCGTGATCCCAACAAGGTCTATGTTAGCAATTGGTGAAAGAAGAAGAGAGTGAGATGGGACCCAGGTGGGCCTGGAGGTGGGATCCTGTGGGTTTTCAGAGCACCCACCAGTGCTCCCTCGGTGAGCCCAGCACCACCTGGAAGTGGAGGGAAGCTGGGTCGCTGCTGGAAGGGAGGGAGGCTGACTCTCTACCCCTCACCTCTGCAAGGAACTGAGGCCTGTAGGGTTGCGGCTGTCACTGGCTACAGGCGGCATCTTTCTGTAAAAAGCTTTTCAGGCATGAAACCCATTTCTGTATGGACTGGGCTGTGTTGACGGTGGTGCTTGGGCCTTGTGTGCCAGGCCTCTCTGGGTCCCCTCCCTGGCCTTTGCCTTCCTCTCACCTTCTCGAGGCCAAGCTGTGCGAGACCTGGCATTCCTTCCAAACCTCAGTTCCTCCACGCCCCTGCGCTGGTGTGACTCCAGAGCTCAGAATGTCAGCACGGAGCCGTCAGTATCGAGAAGGAACTCAACGCAAGGCTTCACAGCTTTCCAAGGACAGGGACCGGCTCTGGAGTGGCCGTGCGTGAGATGTCAGGCACGCTCACACGCAGGGTCCTGTGTTGGCTCCTGACCCAGCAGGGGGACATGGTGGGCGGATGTACCAGCCCTTCTGGATAACATGACAGTCCCAATTTCAGGAAAGTTTTTATTTTAAATATTGGTGATTCTTTAACCAGGAATGCAAATGCTACTGAAGTGCTGTGTGTGTCTCTGTGAGAGCCTTCATATAAATAAATTCATGCATCTAAAGAGTCCCTGGTCAGGCCGCATGCTGATATTCAATTTGGGGAATGGTGATGCCACCACATGCATCTGGGGGAGGCAGCAGGGAGGCGTAGGGACTTTGTGTGGCCTGCTCTATCACAGCTCCTGGGAGAATTACAGATCTGAGCCCAGGGCATCTCTGGGCTTTTGGAAAGGGTTCCTGCTTTTCCTGAGTTCCCATGGCTGCCCTGCTGCCGGGGCTGACTAAGCAGGCGGGGCTGGCTTTCTCAGTGCATATTTTACATTTTTCTCCTTCAAAGAGAAGCCAGGGAGACAAGCTGGAGCTACAGAAGGTGCTCTGTGGGGACTTGGGCCGGGTCAGCAACCAAGCCCCCACCTGCCCCTTGTGGGGTGAGGGCTTGGCTCCTCCCCCAGGGCACAGAGTGATCTTCAGCAGGGTGACCCGTTCCTGGCTCTCATGGTGTGATCAGGGCTGCTGGAGGGAGGGTGGAGGGGCACACTCTCCAGGAACCAAGGTTAGCCTCCAGAACAGGGCCTGGGAGAGCAGTGGCAGTTCCCGCTGCTGGAGGAAGAAGGGCGGGAGCCCCTGAGGCCTAGACTTCATGTTGGGGGTCCTGGTGGGAAGTGGCCTCTCCTCTGTGGCCCCAGAACCCCTACATTGCACCTTCTGCAGGGCTTCAACGGTGGCAAAGCCCTGACCAGGGTCATATTTGCACTAAGGAGCCTCCTGAGGTAACAGCAAGTCCCATTTAGAAGGGGAAAGTATTCCCGAGGCGGGTGGTGAACCCCACTTATTGCTGGGAAAAAGTGAGGCCAAGGGCAGGGCTGGGGTGGTATTGGCACCTGAGAAGGGCAGGCTAGGCCCAGGGCCTCAGCTCTGAATGATTGGCTGATGCCAGCCTTGGCCTTGGGTGAGGCCTGTCCCGGCCTGTCCTGCTGTGGCCTGGGGCAGGGCTGGGGGTGCCTCCAGTCCCTGCTCTGGGTCACCGAGTGCTCCATGCAGACCTGGACAGGAAGGCCTGGCCTGCTGCTGTGCTGGGCCTCTCTTCTCCTGCCACCAGAGGTAGCTGTGCTGCTAGCACTGACACTCCCAGGGTAGCTCTGGGCCATAGGCAGGCCCAGGCCCAGGCCTAGGGATCATAGCCCCATAGGGTGCCACTGCTCCATGGTCCCTGGTGGGCAGGAAGAGCACTGGGCCTTGCCCATAGGAAAGGCCCAGCCAAGTCCCCTCTCGGGGGCTGCTGGCTTAGCTCCTAGAGCACAGAGCCCTCTGGCCCCACCACTGCCGGCCCAACCTGTCCAGTTCTGTACAGTAGCATCAAGCTCTGATTCCCTCAAACTCCCCTTGCTCCCTCCCACCTATCCACCAAAATAGTCTCTGCTTTAAAATATACATTATATATTAGACATTTCATCTTCAATATGATTCTCTCATAGCATCAGGTAAAATTAGTGACTCTAGAGGAAAGGCAGCCTTTGTGAGTACAGGCGGCACTCGGGGACCAACCTGAGCCTCCCCCTGGCAGGAGGGGAAGGGCAGGGGACAGAGAAGAGCCTTGGTTTCCTGCTCAGTTCTCCTTCTGGGCTAAGCCTCACCCCCCGCCCCTCTGCAAAGCCTGGTCTCAGGCTAACAAGGAGCCCACAAAGTCATGGGTGGCTGCTCATTTTGAGGAAGGGCTGGGCATTTTCTGAGCCTCAGAGGGGCACGTGAGTCTGCCCTGGGGAGCTGGCCCCTATGGAGACAGCAACCACCTCATCACACGGCCAGAGGAAGGCCACCAAGCGGAGGCTGGTCAGAGAGGGCGCTGGGGCGTGAGCGAAGGGTGGGCAGGAAGGAGGCGCCTCCAGTTATTGCAGTCTGGTGTCCTGGGAACACCAGGAATTCCTGGAACCCTTGTGGGAGCTGGGAGAGGCAGGGCAGAGGCTTGGCTTTGTTTTCAGTGGACATTTTAGCACATTCTTTGTGGAAAATCACCTGGGACCTTTCTCTTTTTTTGCATAAAGTGTCTAACCATTAAGGTAGGTCCAGTGTCTGATAGTCTAATGTATAACAAAAATGTCTGTTATTTTTTAGAAAATTGTGCTAAGGATTTCTCCAATTTCTGATTTTTTTTTTTTTTTTTTTTTGGCAAGCCATATCTGAGAAGCCATCTCTGCCCTTCCCCTGCCTGCATCCCCCAGACCATGAGCCGGGCACCGGCCAATGCATTCAGGGTGGGGACGCAGTTCCTGCCGTGGCTGTCCTTTGAGAGACCCACATGTTTATTTCATGGAAGACGGAGTTGGTGACTTCAGGAAGCTCCTTGTGGAGAACATGGTAGGCACCTTCATAAATCTGCAATGAGGAGAGACACGGAATCAGAGCTGCACCATCAGAGGCAGGTGCAGGGAGCGGAGACCGTGGGCAGTGGGCAGGGGTCTGCAGCATTCTCCGGACCCTCTCCCTATGCCCGAGGACCTGGCCCTGACCTCCCATTATTAGGAGGCCAACACCTTTCTATCAGAAGATGGTTCAAATGTGTTACAATGTCCCAGTGTGTTCTCGAACTTCCTTTCTCAAATGCAAACCTTCCCTCACTCCACATCTCTCCCCATCCCTGGACCCGTTTCTGTGTCTCTGAGTCAGGCAACCTTCTCAAAAGAGGGGGTTCCACTCCCGGCCTCACATCCTGACCTCCACGGGGTCCTCAGCTCATCCCAAGCCGACTTCCACTCCCGCCAACCCACGGTGGCTAGCCTGGCGAGGTCTCCAGGGACCTCCATTGCTGTGGCAGGGGACACTGTGCTGGTCATTCATAAGCTGCTCACTGTCACCTTCTAGAAACACTTTCCTCTTGTGGTTCCATGGCTTTAACTTTTGATTTTCTTTCAACCTAGCCGGCAGATCCTTCTCAGTCCAGGCTCACCCCACCCACTGGCCTCTGCAGGCGGCTGGACTACGGGCTTGGCTGTGCCCTCCTTCACTCTCCCTGGTCACCTTGTCCAGTCCAGTGGTTTTAAAATCCATCCTGGGCTGATGACTCCGGAATTTACATCTCCAGCCAGACTTCCCTTCTGCCTCTAGACTGCCGACCTGCCATCTCCATCCGAATTTCTGGCAGGGACCTCCAGACTTCAGTGCGACGCTAATGGGCATCTCCAGGTGGACTCCAGCCGTTGCTCACGTCAGTCTCTCTGCCTGGCGTTTCCGGTCTCATTACAGCCTCCTCATTACTGCAAGCCCAAACCCAGGGGTCGTCCTTCATGACAGTGATCTCACTCTCTGCCACCCTGCCTGGCTTGACCTGCCTTGGTTGTCACTGTCTCCTACCTCCTCCTTACCCCAGCTCCTGTCTTCCCAAGGCCACGGGGGGATGCTTTTAAAATGAAAATCACAGCACGTCACTCCTTGGCTTGAAATGCTCATGTGGCTTCTCATCTAACCAAGAGAAGAAGTTTAGACTTCACAGGTGGTGGGGCTCCCCTGCCCCCCGCCACCAGCGTCCCTGACTGGTGCATCCTCACTGGCTGCTCTTCTTATGGCTGCGTGCCTATGCCAGCCTCAGGTCCTCAATCTCTCTCTTGCCTCAGTCTGGAAGGTTCTTCCACTGGCTCTTCTCACCAACAGACTGCAGGCCTGGCTGTCCCATCTAAAGTGCTGCTTTCCCCCTGTCCCCCTCTATGCCTACACTACACTCTGCTGAGTTTCCTTAGGGGCACCGACTCCTCTCCATCATCATCCGTTTCATTTATTTGCTCATCCCACCAGGATACAGGTTCCGGGGGGGCAGGGCAGAGCCTTTGCCTGTCTTGTTCTCTGGGCCTGACAGAAACTTAGGGCCCCATAAATACTTGAATTAAAGAAGCAATGAATGGATAGCTGGGTAAATGAATGAATAAACAATCTTAGCGGACTCCTTTCGCAGGGACTTGGCAAGGGTTCACATTGGTGTAAGGGCGGTCTCAGTGATGCTCTCATGGATGAATGCAGTGTTCCACTGTGGCTTTTAAAAAATATATTTTGCTGGGTGAGGTGGCTCACGCCTGCAATCCCAGCACTTTGGGAGGCCAAGGCAGGTGGATCACCTGAGGTCAGGAGTGAGACCAACCTGGTCAACATGATGAAACCCCATCTGTACTAAAAATACAAAAATTAGCCGGGCAGGGTGGCAGGCGCCTGTAATCCCAGCTACTCAGGGGGCTGAGGCAGCAGAATCACTTGAACCTGGGAGGCAGAGGTTGCTGTGAGCCGAGATGGCGCCGCTGCACTCCAGCCTGGGTGACAGAGGGATACTCTGTCTGAAAAAAAAAAAAAAAAAATATATATATATATATATATATGTATGTGTGTATATATATATGTGTATATATATGTATGTGTATATATATGTGTATATATATGTATGTATATATATGTGTGTATATATATGTATGTGTGTATATATATGTGTGTGTGTATATATATATAGTCTTGCTGTCTAATATTCCACATAACCAAGCCGCAGGGCCTGTCCTCAGGGCCCCTGTCTGCAGAGCTAGCTCTGGCAGCTCCCTTCACGGATCAGGCTCTGCCAAGTCCTGCCAGCACCTGTGTGCCCTGAGCCCTCTGGTGGCCATGGCTCCCGAGCTACTGCAGCTACCACTGGTGCAGAGGGAGGCTTGGGCATCACACGTGTCCTTGGAGCTTGGACATGTCTCTCTCTCAGGAGATTTTATTTGCTCAGTGCCCAGTTGCAGATTCCTTTCTTGCCTATAACATCTTTTGATTGTTCTTCTTCCCTTTGAGGCTTATTCATGCAAAACAATCAGCAAATGACTCGTGTTCTCTTGAAATTCATAGGCTCCTGGGATTCCTTTTATTTATTTATTTCTCGGTCAAGCAGGCTGGTCCCTATCCTGAGACCTGGGAGGTGGCCCTCGAGGGTCTGGGCAGATGTGCCCCAAGGGGTGCTGCCTTCCTGTCCCCCCTCCACCTTGGGGGGAAGTGGGCAAGTGGCAGCCGCTCACCTTGAGAGTCTTGTCCTGGCTCTTGGCTAACTCCATGAGCAGGTAGGCCCCTTTGCTGTCACATAGGCGATCGGCAGAGCCCTGGAGCAGCAGGAAGGGCACAGTCAGCTTGGGGAGGGCGCGCTCCACCCGTGAGACGGCATTCAGCAGTTGGATGCCGAAGCACACCTTCAGCCCTGCCCGGCAGATCAGGGGGTCTGAGTTATAAATGTCGACCTGGAGGAAGAAGGAGAGGGTTCCATCAGCATGGGCAGGGCTCACTTCCATAAGCCAGGCCTATTTCCTGGTAGCTTTTCCTTCTGCTCTGGCCTGAAGGGTTGATTCCATTCAGGTCAGCTGGGCTTGGGCATGGCTCTGAAGGCCAGCCGTGTTCATCCACAAACCTCATCTGCACCACTGGCAGTGCCTCTCCTTTCAGGCTTGAGGGTTTCACATACACATGGGTGCCTGTAGAAAATGTCAAGTATTGGCCAGGTGTGGTGGCTCATGCCTGTAATCCCAGAACTTTGGGAAGCTGAGGCGGGCGGATCACCTGAGGTCAGGAGTTCAAGACCAGCCTGACCAACATGGTGAAACCACGTCTGTATGGGATTTTTTGTATTTTTGTAAAAATACAAAAACTAGCTGGGCGTGGTGGTGGGCACCTGTAATCCCAGCTACTTGGGAGGCTGAGGTGGGAGAATCCCTTGAACCTGGGAGGCGGACTTTGCAGTGAGCCAAGATGGCGCCACTGCACTCTAGCCTAGGCGACAGAGCAAGACTCCGTCTCAAAAAAAAATTAAAAAAAACGAAAGTTTCAAGTATTAATTTGTATTTTAAAAAATATAAGCAGCAGCATATTGTTCACATCAATTATTTTATTAAAAAGTAGCTCTGCAGCAGTTTTAGCACTTGATTTTTGTTCTCTGTCTCTGCTGATTTGGTGTCCACCTGGTGGAAGTGGATGAGGGGCAAACAGTAAACTGCAGGAACAGTTTACTGGGTTCTGTGCTGGAAAGCGAGGGCCCATGCTAGGAGCCCCTGGAGGGGCTTCGGCCAGGCACTGACAATGGGCTTTGGGGTGAGGGACGCCCAAGGGTGGGTCTGGCTGGGGTGGGCTCGGCCTCCGTGCCCCTCAGGGCTACACAGGGTGGTCAGACGCCCTGACAGGCTGTGCCCAAGGCCAACTCTCCCCCTCTACGGGATGTGGGTCCTCTCTCCTCAACCACCACCCTGTGGATCTTGCCTTTCAAGGGGCTGCTCTCTCCCCTGTCCTTGCTCTCCCTGGCCTGTCTGGGTTTCTGGCTTCACTCTTCCTGCCTCCATAAAGACAGCTCAGGCTCCACTGCCCTGATCTCTCTAGCATCTGCCCTACAGGATCGGGGAGAAGTTTCTAGGAATCTCTCAGGCCCATAGAGGGCAGGAGTGAGCCCCTGATGCTTCTTTTTTTTTTTTTTTTTTTTTTTTTTTTTTTTTTTGAGACGGAGTCTCCCTCTGTCACCCAGGCTGGAGTGCAGTGATACGATCTTGGCTCGCTGCAGCCTCTGCCTCCAGGGTTCAAGTGATTCTGCTACCTCAGCTTCCCAGGTAGCTGGGATTATAGGCGCCGGCCATCACACCCAGCTAATTTTTGTATTTTTAGTACAGACGGGGTTTTGCCATGTTGGTCAGGCTGGTCTCAAACTCCTGACCTCAGGTGATCCACCCGCCTCGGCCTCCCAAAGTGCTGGGATTATAGGCATGAGCTACCGCGCCCGGCCCCATGATGCTTCTTCATTCATGTTTGTCATCCTTGCCAGTGGGTTCTTGGTGGGTTGGGGAGGGGCCACGTGGTGAGGACTGGGTGAGGGTCAGAGAGCATGTGGGGACGAGGAAGGAACATGCTGCCAGCTGCTCCCCGGGCAACCAGGGTGCCCACTGTGCTAGGACTCAGCATTTCCAAGAACTGAGCTACACCCCTTCTGCTGCCACCCCTACAAGGCCTCGGCCAGAATTCTGGACCACACCAAGTGGGAGAGGCTGTCCTGCAGTCACCCCTGCCATCCCTGGATTCCTTCCCATGCTGGGGACTGAGCACCAAAAACCAGACCATTTGTGTAAATCCACACGAGACAGATTAGCCACTTCCTGCAGCTGAGCTGGCATGAGTCCTGCTGGGCCGGGCCATCTGCTCGGAGCCTGAGAGGACACGGGACTGGCAGGGCAGTTCATGGGGGCCCATGGCCAGGCCCAACCACAGGGGGTGCTTCCCCAGGGTCAGCCAGGAGCCCTGAGGGAAGGAGGGCTGTAGGGCCCGCAAAAGAGCCTGGGGCTTGGAGTCACCAACAGCAGCGCCATCTACCAGCCTGTGCAGGGCTGCGACATGCAGGGTCTCATTGAGTAATAAAAGTAATAATAGCTACATCTGAGCTCTGGCTGTCTGCCCGGCACTAAGTGTTTTTGCATGCAGTAACTCACTGGGCCTCCATAACTCCCCTGTATGAGGAATTGCTCTCATTCTCTCCACTACACAGAGGAGGAAACTAAGGCACAGAGAGGCTTGTCAACCTGCCTGCTGTTAGTTGCCCCAATTCTTGTTCTGCCCTACAGAACCTTGATGTTTCCTTCGGTACACAACTGCTCAGAATAGAGACTACATTTCCCAGTCTCCCTTGCAGCTAGGTGTGGTCACATGACCACGTTCTGGCCAATAGAAAGCAGGCAGGGGCTGTGTGCACATTCTGGGTTGACGGCTTATTTTCTCCTTGCCCCACAGAAAGAGTCAGGGCCGTGTGGACAAGGTTCGCCCCTGGAAGCTAGAGCAACAAGATGGGTGTCCTGATGCCAAGAAGTCACCCCCTCTCTTGGTTAAGCTGCTGTTGTTGGGGGTATGGGTTCCAGCAGGCTGGCGGTGCCCTGGGCTGGGCCACCACCCCATCCCATGCTGTCTCCAGGGCTCCCATGGGACCTGTGGGGTGGGGGCCACACCCTCGCCCCTGTTGCTAGCGATGTCTTACAACCACCTTCTTCCTGCAGCAGGCCTGCTGCTTTGCCCCGCTGACCCCAAGTGTCCTGGGCACAGCAGGCGCTCGGGGACTCTGCTTCTGAGTTTAATTGCACTGACGGCCCAAGCGGCTTCCTGCTCTTGGCTTCGTTTTCCATGTCTTGATCACGTAGGCCCTGTTTACACAATGGCCTATTCTGGGCCTGGGGCCCAGCCACCAGATGTGTCAGAGAAAGAGCAGGCCCCTGATGTGAACCACAGCCTGGACCGGAGGTGAGGGGCAGAGGGAAACTGGGACCAGGAGGTTGGGGAGGGCTGTACCACATGGGGAGACTGAGGCACAGAGGGGCCAAACCCTCCCCTCAAGTGGCAGTTCTGGCACAAGCACAATGGCCTTGATTTTTTGACAGCTTAAGATCTCAATCCACCAAAAGTCCTAGGAATGTGGCTTGTGGCTCCCAGGAAGGAGATAGCCAGGCCCCTTCCTCCCAAACCAGGCCCAAGCCCAGAACATGAGCCCATTCATTCAATAGGGACCAGAGTCAGTCCCCAAATATTCCACACTGCATGATTCCACTGATGTAATGTTCTTCACGTGACAAAACTAGAGAAACAGAGACCAGACTCACGGCTCTCAGGGCTGAGGAGGGTGTGGGGCGAGTGGGGAGGGGATGCAGCTGCAAAAGGGCAACATGAGGGGTCCTTGTGGGGATGGAGCCATCTGTGACTTGACTGTGTCAAGGTCAGTATCCTGGTTGTGATATTGTCCTGTCGTTTTGCAAAATGTCACTGCTGGGGGAAACTGGGTAATGGGTACATGGAATCGCTCTGTATTATTTCTTATAGCTGCTTGTGAGTTACAGTGATCTTAAATGAAAAATTTAACTAAGAACAAGTAACAAAGGCCCAGGCTTTGGCACAGTCTCTCACACCGCCACCTTCCTGTTTGGCTCACCATGGCTCCCACCAGCTGAGACCAGGGTCTGCTGGGGACATGGCAGCTGGAAGCAGGAGCCCAAGCTGGGGACCCAGGTCCAAGTGACCACCCCCACCATGGCTCTAGATAACTGATTTCCTGGGGAGCCCCCACTGGCTGAGAGTTGAAGTCTTTTTTTCCCCGGGGTGGGGGTTGGGAGTATGGTAAGGCTCTACGCCTTCCTGGGCCTCAGTTTCCCCATCAGGGGACCCCAAAGCCTCCTCTTGGGTTTTAAGTTTCACAAGCTGGCCTCCTGTTGAGCTTGACAGCCAGGAATATACCAGCTGGGTCTTCTGAATTTCCAGCACTGTCTCTCTGTGGGAAGAAACTTTGCACTGAAGTACAGTAAATACAGCTGCAATCCTCAGCTGGGAGTTTTCTTACACTTACGTTTGAGCAAAATCTAGACACAACCCCTGCAGTCAAATCTCTTGACCCATTTTTTTTTTAAATTGTTCCATGATGAAATGCAATATCAGAGTTTAATTAGAATACTATGAAAAATAACTAATGCGTGGAGCCCTTGACTCTTTACTAGGTGCTGTAGTAAGTGCTTCACTCGCACTTGCTCATTTAATCTTCACAGGAACCCTGTGATGTAGGAACTATTATTATTACCTTTTTACATATGAGGAGACAAGCTCAGAGAGGTTAGATGACTCACCCAAGGTTACACAGCAAGAGGCAGAGCCAAGGTAAGAACCTAGGCACTCTGCCACTGCCATCAGCATTCTTAGCCACTTACCATGCTCTGCTGCCTGTCTCGAGAGGAGAAGGTGAAGGTCAGTGCTGGGGCATAGACAGCCAGGAGCTATGCAGGTGGCAGGGGCACTAGTGCTCTCAGAAAAGGCAGGAATGGTCCCTGATGAGGACCATAAGCAGATGGGCCTGACAGATGGTGAAGTGATCTGGTGGGGCCCAGGGGTTACCGCCCTTCACAGCCAGCCAGAGGGGATAGGGGAGCCCTTCTGGGCACAGACAGGCATGTGCCCTCCTGGATGCACCCCTAATCACAGAGAAATACAACCCAGCAGGCTTCATCCCTGTAGATCTGTCCACAGCTGGCTCTTCCTGCCCCTCCTTCCCTGCAATCTCCTCCCTTTTCCTACGGAAGCGTCACCCTTCCACCTGGGCTTTAGAGCCCATCCTGGAATTCCCACCTTCTTCCTCCATTGTTTAGATCTCTCTTAATCCATCCATTTCCAATACAGGGAACTCGGATAGCCTTCTCTGGCATAATAGAGAAAGAGTGCATGACACTCTACCTGAGTGATCTCTGTGAAATTTAGAAACCTGCAGGAACCCTAACAAAAACTGGCAAGTCTTTGCAGAGACGATGTCCTCATTTCCCACCTTTGTCTTGAATGGCCGGAGACATAATTTGTGGTGGAAAGAGCTGGATGAGAGAATCCTCCTGTGATGGCTTCTGTCTCCCATCACAAACAGCTTTTCAGCCCCTTGCTCTTAGCTTAATTAACATTGTCTACTCCGCTTTCAGGCCTCAGCTCAGCCTTCCCAGACCCCCACAGACTCTGCTGCCCCAAAACCCTTCTCCCATGCCTCACTTGGCCTGGTCTGCAATCAGCACATCTCTTCCCACATGTCTGCCCCACGTGAGGGTCAGGGCTCTGTCTGTCCTGTCCTCTGCATGGCCTGCACGGTGGCTGGCACAGGGGAAGCCTTTGGTAAACTCTGGTGCAATGGATGAATAAGCAAACCATTCCCTAATCCAGCCCAAGAAGTAGCACCTTTGGGTACTGAGAGGCCAGCACAGACCTCACGGCAGCTGGCAACCGCTGGCCACCTGCTGGCCAAGACAGTGTCCACAATGGGAATGAGACTTAGGACCCTCGAAAGGGGAGGCCCTTGTCATTTCATTCAGTGAATGGCCTTTCTGCGTGCACACGTGGAAAGCCCCGATAGCTTGCTTTTGGAGCCGCTTGGCATTGCTTTCCTTCAGTGCATTGTGCTGAACCCCAGGCCTATGGAATATCCTAAACGCAAATAAGAATGTACCGTAGCCTGGGCACGGTGGTGCATGCCTGTAATCCCAGCACTTTGGGAGGACAAGGTGGGCAGATCACTTGGGCCCAGGAATTCAGAACCAGCCTGGGCAACATGGTAAAACCCCATCTCTACAAAAAATACAAAAATTAGCCTGGTATAGTGGTGCACACCTGTAGTCCCAGCTACTGCGGGGGCTGAGGTGGGAGGATTGCTTGGGCCCAAAAGGTGGAGGCTGCAGTGAGCTGAGATCACGCCACTGCACTCCAGCCTGGGCAAGAGAGCGAGACCCTGCCTCCAAAAAAAAAAAAAAAAAAGCCACCACCAACAACAATAGCAACAACAAAAAAAACAACGTCAATGTCCTGTGGAAGTTGGCCTGAATTTGGAACATGCTGAAGGCTGGAAACAGCTGTGCTTGGCGTGGCCATGGCGTGCTTCCTCTCCCACACATTCCCTCCCAAGCCTGTAGCACCCTGGCCACTGCTGTCAGCCCCCAGAGGGCTCACGGCATTGGGTCCCTGTCACGCAGAGATAAGTCCCATTTCAGACTCACAGATCTGTACCTGTCTCCCTCTGTGAAGAACCCTGTGGTGCTTCCCATGGGGGCTGCAGGGCAAAGTCCTAACTTCTTGGTATGGCCTGGGACACCTCCATCCCTGCCCTCCCTTAACACTCCCCACTCCCCTTGACCCCAGGGCCCTTGCACAGCATGTCCCCTCAGCCTTCAGACCCCTTCCTTGGCTGCCTGTGGAGTTTCTCCCTCCCTATCAACCCTCGGCTCAGCTGCCCTTCCTGCAGGCAGCCTTCCCCGGTCCCGTGTGTGTCATCCCCAGACCCCTTTCCTCATGTGCTTGTCGTCTGCACTACAGACTGGCCCCGATATCTCCGTTTCCACCATCCCCTTCCACGGCCTTTCTCTTATCTGCCAGCAACCCTGTTCCTTCTCTTCAAAGCCCAGGTTAAGCATTTCCTCCTGTGGACAGGTGCCCAGACACCCTCGCCAACATCCATGCTTCTCTCCCCAGGCTCCTGTATCTTCACCAGCACCTCCTTCAGTGGGCCTCTCTCAGAGCTGTGATAGCAACAGCTCTCACCTGCTAGGGTCCACACTGTGCTAGGTGGCTGTGCAGTCATCTGGAGGGATCTGAGGAAGGGCAAGACTGAGTGTGGCTTCCAAGGTCACACTGAGGAGATGGAGCGGGGTCCAGACTCAGGTCCTTTTGGAAGCCTGTGCTCTTCCCACTGAGCCTACCGCCTCTTTCCCCTCTGGGCCACTGCAGTTGATGGGCCTGGCTGGCAGGGACAACAGGGCAACTCATGGGGTGTCACAGCCTCCAGCTCTAGCCTGGCTGGAGTGGGAACCCTGAGAAAGTTTGTTGGTGTGGTGAGCTGCCTGCAGGGTGGCAGAGGGGAGATAGGCCCTGCCTGACTCAGCAGAAAGCTTCCCCGGCTCGATAGACCCAAGCAAGCCCTGCCTACCAGGAGGCCTGAGTCCCCACAGTGACCTTACCCTGCCTTGGGCCAGCCCCAGCTGGCGCCCAGCCTCAGTGGCTGAAATTCCTGAACCAGATCAGGGCCATTTGGAAAGAAGATGTTGCTCCACATTCTCCTCTCCTGGAAGCTGCAGTGCCATTTTGGACAGAAAGAGGATAATCAAGGATCAGCCTACAATTCTGAGTTGCCACTTAATCAAGGGTATGCAAATTAATGAGCATTCTTTCCGCCAAATTACTTTTTAGTATGAAGGTTTGAACTCCTGGACATCCTGGCATCTGTTTGTTTGTTTGTTTTTGAGATGGAGTCTCGCTCTTGTCGCCCAGGCTGGAGTGCAGTGGTGCGATCTTGGCTCACTGCAACCTCTGCCTCCCAGGTTCAAATGATTCTCCTGCCTCAGCCTCCCGAGTAGCTGGGATTACAGGCACACGCCACCATGCCCTGCTAATTTTTGTATTTTTAATAAAGACGGGGTTTCACCATGTTGGCCAGGCTGGTCTCGAACTCCTGACCTCAGGTGATCTGCCCACCTCGGCCTCCCAAATTGCTGGGATTACAGGCATGAGCCACCGCGTCCATCCAGCCCTAGCATCCACTTTTAAGAGCAGTGAGGTAGGAATGGCTCTGCAGGTCGCAGCCCCGGCAAATGGGGAGAGCTGTTTGCATAGCCCCGCCCCACCACTGTCTCCTCCCCCAGGATTCCTTCTGCAGGGCTTCAGAGTCTTCACAACCAGAAGTGATGCAAAAAGTCAACCTCTTTCTGTCCTTTGGAATGGAGGGCCCTGGAATGTGGCTCTGAACACAGAAGTGCTCCTAGGTGACCACCAAGGGAAAGGAAAAAGCAGCCACCACATTCTCTGCCTTCTCACAGGCTCAGGGATTTGAGGAATAATAAGAGAAACAAGAAAGAATTCCCAGGTCTTGCAGGACCACTTTCATAACTGCTGATCACAGAACAGCAAAATCATGCAGTCTCAAGTCTTAAATGGTGACAACTGTGGAAACTGGAGCATGGATTAGATCGAGGACAACAAGGGGGAATGACTGTTACTTTTCCTAAATGTGATAATGGCATGGGGTCCTGTGTGAAAGCCTCTGTTTTGAGTCCTTCCTCTTGGGCAACCCAGGCGGAAGTATTCAGGCGCATTCAGGATCGTGGTGTCTGCAGTTTACTTTCACATGGTTCAGCCAAAACAAGGTATCCACTTCATGACATTGGATTTGGCAACAACTTCTTGGATATGACACCAAAAGCACAGGCAACAAAAGAAAAACAGATAAACTGGACTACATCAGAAAGAAAAAAACCCTTATGCTTCAGAGTACATTATCAGCAGAGGGAAAAGGCAGCCCACAGAATAGGAGAAAATACTTGCGAATTATATTTGTATATGTGGTTAATATCCACATAAGGGGTTAATATCCAGAACATATACAGAACTCCTGCAACTTAACAACAAATAACAAACAACCCAATTAGGAAATGAGCAAAGCAAACGATGGGCCAGACAATCCTAGGCAAAAAGAATAAAGCTGGAGGAATCATGCTACCTAACTTCAAACTACATTCCAAGACTACAGTAACCAAAACAGCATGGCACTGGTACACAAACAGACATATAACCAATGGAACAGAATGGAGATCTCAGAAATAAGACTGCATATCTACAACCATCTGATCTTTAACAAACCTGATGAAAACAAGCAATGGGGGAAGGACTCCCTATTTAATAAACAGTGCTGGGAAAACTGGCTAGCCATATGCAGAAAATTTAAACTGGACCCCTTCCTTACACCATATACAAAAATTAACTCAAGGTGGATTAAAGACTTAAATGTAAAACCCAAAACTATAAAATCCCTAGAAGAAAATCTAGGCAATACCATTCAGGACTTAGGCACGGGCAAAGATTTCATGATGAAAATGTCAACACCAAGTGCAACAAAAACAAAAATTAACAAATGGTATCTAATTAAACTAAAGAGCTTCTGCACAGAAAGGGCTTCTGCACAGCAAAAGAAACTATCATTAGAGTGAACAGACAACCTACAGAATAGGAGAAAATTTTTACAATCTATCCACCTGACAAAGGTCTAATATCCAGAATCTACAAGGAATTTAAACAAATTTGCAAGAAAAAAACAACCCCATCAATAATGGGCAAAGGATATGAATAGACACTTTTCAAAAGAAGACATTTATGTGGCCAAGAAACACATGAAAAAAAGCTCAACATCACCGATCATCAGAGAAATGCAAATCAAAACCACAATGAGATACCATCTCACGCCAGTCAGAATGGTGATCATTAAAAAGTCAAGAAACAACAGTTGCTGGTGAGGCTGTGGAGAAATAGGAACACTTTTACATTGTTGGTGAGAATGTAAATTAGTTCAACCATCGTGGAAGACAACAGAAACCCCATTTGACCCAGCAATCCCTTTGGGTATTACTGGGTATACACCCAAAGGAATATAAATCATTCTATTATAAAGATACATGCACACGTATGTTTATTGTAGCACTACTCACAATAGCAAAGACATGGAATCAACCCAAATACCCATCAATGATAGACTGGATAAAGAAAATGTGGTACATATACATCATGGAATACTATGCAGCCATAAAAAGGAACAAGATCATGTCCTTTGCAGGGACGTGGGTGAAGCTGGAAGCCATTATCCTCAGCAAACTAACGCAGGAACTGAAAACCAAACACCACATGTTCTCACTTATAAATGGGAGCTGAACAATGAGAACATATGGACACAGGGAGGGGAACAATACACACTGGGGCCTGTCAGGAGGAGGGGCACGGGGGGAGGGAGAGCATCAGGATAAATAGCTAATGCATGTGGGGCTTAATACCTAGGTGATGGGTTGCTGGGTGCAGTAAACCACCATGGCACATGTTTACCTATGTAACAAACCTGCACATCCTGCGTATGTATCCTGGAACTTAAAATTAAATTAAACTAAAAAAAAAAGAAAAAGAAAAACAATAGACAAGAAATAGGAAAAAGAAAAGAAATGGGCAAAGGATCTGAACAAACATTTCTCTAAAGAAGACATACAAGGTCCCAGTGCAGTGGCTCACACCTGTAATCCCAGCACTTTGGGAGGCTGAGGCGGGCTGATCACCTGAGGTCAGGAGTTCGAGACTAGCCTGACCACCATGGAGAAACCCCGTCTCTACTAAAAATATGAAATTAGCCTGGTGTGGTGGCACGCGCCTGTAATCCCAGCTACTCAGGAGGCTGAGGCAGGAGAATCGCTTGAATCTGGGAGGTGGAGGTTGTGGTAAGCCAAGATCGCGCCACTGCACTCCAGCCTGGGCGACGAGAGAGAAACTCCATCTCAAAAAAAAAAAAAAAGAAGAAGAAGAAGAAGAAGACAACATACAAATATCCAAAAATCACATGAAAAGACACTCAGCATCACTAACCATTAGGGAAATAGAAATCAAAGCCACACTGAGATGCCACTCCATACCCATTAGGATGGCTACTATCAAAAAACACAACCTAACTAGTGTTGGCGAGGATGTAGGGACACTGGAACCCTTGAGCACTGTTGGTGAGAATGTGAAATGGCACAGCCACCGTGGAAAATGGCAGCATGGTTCCTCCAAAATTACCAGCAGAATATGACCCAGCAATCCCACTTCTGGGTACATACATACCCAAAAGAATGGAAGCAGGGTCTGGAGTAGATATCTGCACCGCCACGGGCACAGCAGCGTTATTCACAACAGCTGAGAGGTGTCTTTGAGAGAGCTTTGCCCAGGCTATGTTCCCACGGAAGCCCAACTGAGCCCACATCTTTCTTTCCTCCACTGCCAAGGCCCTACTATGTGCATGTCCCACGTACCCACAAAGGTACTGAGAAAGAAGCTCAGTTGGGCCTGCTGGACACAGAGAACTCCTCAGTGTGTCCTGTATTTTGCTGGCAGCTGTGGCTTCCCTGACAGTCTCTGCAGTCCCTGGTTTTCTGCTGCCATTAAAGCATCATACTTCCAGGATCTGCCTGTCATGAGCTCACAGCCGTTTCTCCCAGCCTTGGTGGCCGGCAGGAGTGGGACTGGGAGCGGGTCCAGAGCTGGAACATCTACAGAGGGTGGTGCAGGGCGCAAAAGCAACGTAGAGCAATTCACACGCTCCCTCGCCACCACCCCACATGGAGCCATATGCCCAAGAGACTTTCTAGTGCCTGTTGTTTTTTTAGGGCATTGGGAAATTTTTAGCTGCAAATACTGGTAATAAGACTGTCTCAAATAGACAAGTATATGCTGTGGGGAATGTAAGTGATGAACGATAGAGAGCCACAGAATAAAATCTGCTAGCCAAACCGAGTTTGCTGGAAGGTTCTTAGCTCGTTCTCGGAGGGAACTCCCGTGGAAGGCTGTGTCCTGGGGACAGTGTGGGAGGCTGAAGCCCATCTTTAGCTGTGGTTACGCTTAAGTCGAAGGCCTCAGCACGGCCGAGCTTTCCAAGACCCGGCAGGAGCCTTCCGAGGGCCTCTGGGCAGCATGGGTGCAGGACAGGCAGGCAACAGGGGGACCTGGAGCCAACTCCTCGACATTGGGCACATCCGAAACACCGGGCAGAGGAGACAAAAAAGGAAGCTGAGTGGCCACTCCTCATGGCTCCCGGGTGCTCAGAACTCAGCATATGGCCTGCCTGAGGGAATATAAACTAGCAGATGCGCAGGAAGGGCCTCCCAGGGTACTTATAAAGAACAGAGACTGGGCTCTAGAAGACAAGTGGCCTCAGGAGATAAGCAGCTGAGGTTCCTAGCACAAGGTGTGCTCAGAATCATGGCCTCTGCCTCCCGCCTCCACCCCTTCCACAGCCTGGGAGAGGAAGCAGTGCATTCCGCCTGAGTATGTGGATGGCTGAGGGCATGGGCAGATGCTGAACAACCTCTCCTCCTCACCTCCTCCCACAGCGTCCTTGGCCATAGAACTCTTTAGAATCACGTTCAAGGCTTCTCAGAGTAGGAAGGGATTCATCACATTCTGATAAAGCCTTTTTGGGGTGGAATGATTACCATGTCAGTATTCTGATGTTCTGATCAGGGACCCTAAATATATTGACAAACATAATAAATGTCTGTGTAGCAACTTCTTTGTTCCCTGGGTTTGAGTGCCAAGGGCACTTGGCCCGGAGTAGCTGTGTTCTTGGGCAAGTGACTTGCCCTTTCTGGGCCCACACTTCTACAACTACAAATGCTGGTAATAAGACTGACTTCCTGGGGTCATGGTGAGACCAGAAGGGCTCTAGTGTCTGGCACAGAAGAATGATGCCATCATTGTGCATTGGGTAGTGTTGAGACAATAAAAAGTCCTCTTATGCCTTTTTTCCTGAAGGCTTCACACATGCGGCGAGAATGTGGCTCTATAGGGTGGCAGCTTTGGGGCGACGCAAGTGAAGAGAGCCCACTAGCAGTCCTGGGTGGGTTGTGAGAATGCTTGTCACAGCAAACACCAAACATTCTGCTTCTGACATTCTGGCAACAGAGCTAACCCGCTTCCCTTCAGACAGAATTCCAGATCTTCCCTGGGGCCTGTGCACTCTTGAGTCCCAGGCCCCTGCACCCTCGATTCCCGGCCAGTGGCCCATCCCCCATAGTCCTGCTCACTCAGCTTCTTAGGCAAACATTTCTTTTTGGTTTGAGGCTTTTATAGCTGCAGGGTTCCATGGGAAATGTCTTAGCTAAAGATGTGCCTCAAGACACCCCGATGTTAGATGCCTTTCCCAACACATTTTCCCCTCAGCGTTGCTATTTTTAAAGCTCAGCAGAACGTTCAGAGGGAGACGCAGAGCTGCGGCAGGCGAGGGAGGGAAAGGCGTGCTCTTGATTTTTCCAACTGCAGTCCAGCCTTGGGGCTGACCGGCCACCTCCCTTCCTCATGTCTTCTCAGCAGGGACATTTATTAGTGTTTCTAAATAACTGATGACCTGGGCAGCCAGAAACCCGAGGCAGGAGGGCTCGGATGGGGGCTGTGGGTGGGGCAGGAACAGAGGAGGGGAGCCCCACCAGGTGCTTCCATCCTGAGTAAGACCGAAGAATTTCTCATTATTGCAAAAAGGAGAGAAAAGATCTGAAATTGGATGCTTTTAAATAGAGAGGGTTTGGAATCTCTTTTTAGTACCTGTTTTTTTCTTCCTCTTTGCCCGTGTATTTTCAGGTGTTCAGATAAACAACGTGGATTTGCACCTGGGTGCTTTGTCTTAAAGGGAGGCCCCTCCCTCCCTGACCCATCTTTCTCAAACCTACTGTTGTCCTGGCACTGCCGCTACAAAGATCACTGGTTTTACCAGACACCACACCTTCAAGCTAGAGCCATTATGAGGGATGCAGGCAGGTGCAGGAGCCCCTGCCCCACACTGAGTTTCCCTGTCAAAGTGGGTCCCGTACAGAGAGCAATGGCCATGGCCATGGGCTGCGTGGACCAGCAATCAATTGTAAAACAGGAAACAGAGCTTAATGACCATAATTACTAGCTAGAGGGAGGCACCAAAGCATGGACTTTTGAATAAAATGGGCTAAAATCCCATCTCTGCCCCTGACTAGTTGTGCAATCTTGAACAGGTTATTTAACCTCTCCAAGCCTCAGTTTCTTCATCTGTGAAATGGGGTTAATGTCGATCTCATTCATGTCAGGATTAAATCAAACAGTGTATATTTGGCTTTGGTCTTTCTGGGTCCTAAAGTTGTGCTCTTTCACTGTATGAATCTGCTTTTTGGAATTAAAGTTTTTTTCCTTTATTCAGATATTCTTTCAGAAAGACCAGGGGCCACACACTGGTCCCTAATGGGTCCAACCTGGCCCCAAGATGTAGGTTTGGGAGGCACTGTGGGCTTTAAAAACCAAATTATATTAGAATTTTAAATTAATGTGGATGGGTTGGATGGATCAGATGCCCTCTGGCTCCACACAGGCCTCATGGCTTGCTAGAATCTCTCACCAGTCTGATTTTTAAGCAGCTGGCCCTCAGAGGCCTAGGAGTTTTCAACCCCTGATCTAGAAAGTCTCTTTCCTACACACCACGGGCTATTCCTCTTGAGTTGCCCACTCTCTAAGTGACTCAGAGGGCCAGAAGGCCACAGTTTATAATGAAGCTAGAGTCCAACAGCCCAAGGAAGTCTGGGAACATCCCCAGAATGCTAGAGCACTGCACTCCACTTCCCAGGGCCCTTTAGGGAGCCAGTGATTCAGTGATTTAGGGAGCCAGTGATTCAATGATTTCAAACTCCTAAAGCAAGAGGGCAACTGAGGCAGAAGAGTGGCAAACTTATTTGCTTAATCATGAAGATAATGCTGGTGTCTTCTGGATGCTTCCTACCCATTAACTGCAAGCCCACTCCCATACCCAGACAGAGCACAGCTGGAGACCACACCTACCCACGTTCCCAGGCTAGCCTCACCACTGGCTGACCCCAAGCAAGTCATCCCACGTTATGGGGCTCAGTTTGCTCATCTGCAATATGGGTCTGTCCTTCCTTTGCTACCACTATTCTGAGTTACCCCCAGGGATCCCCTTCCTCTACTCTCAGTGGGTGGGGATGATACTACCCCCCTTTCCTGGACAAATAATCCAGGCCTGGATAATCAGTCAGTAAGAATCAGCCCTGAGACTTTTGCTGGAAAGAGGTGCTGTTTTTCCACTGGGGTTGCTCAGGTAAACCTGCTGGTGGCCCTCTTGGCCTTCACTGGGGGAAAGCCTGTCTGGGAATGAAGCCAAACCAGGGGAGATGAAAGCTGGGAAGAGACCGATGGAGAATAAGACTTTCAACGCCCTGGATCCAGCCATGTCTGAAGCCTTCAGTTCCATTCACCACAAAATCCCTGCTTTTGCTTAAATCACTTTGATGTAGGTTTCTGTCTCTTGCAACCAAGAGACTTGACTGGCACACACTCAACTTCCACTGTTGGCTCCTTTCATGTTTAGAACACAGCTCAGGCATCATAGCCAACCCACCCTTTTCACCCAAACCTGAAGCCAACCATGTCTAATGCACCACTGTGTCCTTGTCACTTTGCACAGGGCCTCGGTGAAAGGGCAGCAGAGAATGCCAAGGCTGGAGCCAAAACTCTGATTCCCCATGGGGGCAGCCACCCAAGCTACCCCTGGGGTTTCGGAAAGCCTCTCACCTCTGTCTTATTCCGAGAGAGCACGCTGGAGTCGATGGGCCCGAGGGACAAGTTTGGCAGCACAAGGTTGAGCACTTTCGCAGCAAGGACCTAGCCGGGGAGGGAAAACAAGGGCTGTGAGCACAAGTGGCATCCACACCCGGCTCTTCCGCAGTGACAGTTTACAGTACATTAAGGAGAGTGATGCCCAAACTGAACATCAGCCAGGTTCGTCTCCCAAGCCTGCGTCCTTAAGCCTGCATGCCCAAGGACTCTCCCTTCTGACTCAGCCTCTATTCAGCCTGGCTCTGCTCCACCTTGGGGGAGCTGGCCAGGCAGCCGCTGCGCCCAAGGTGGGAAGTCACGTCTGAATTTTGCCCGCTCTATACCCTCCCCATGATCGCTCATGGGTTGTAATTTTGCATCACTGGCAAGAGTTGCCTGGGATGAGCTCTGGCCATTTCTCTGGGGTACTGAAAATACACGGCAGGTGCAGAATCACACAGATCAACTGAGCACGAAGCAGGGCAGTGCGGAAGGGCCCACAGGAGCCACACAGAGAAAGTGTGCGTCCATTTCTCTCGGGTGGAAGTAGAAATAGCACCAGCTCGATGAGGAGGCTGTGTGGCAGAGGGAAGGATTGCTGGGTTTGATTCCTAGCTCTGCTGCCTCGTGAACATGGGCTGGGATTTCCACATCGCTGAGCCTCCGTTTCCTCAGCTGCCAGTGGGACCTTGACCCTCCCCCAGAGGACCACGGGGAAGGTGAATAACACCCTGTGTGCAAAAGCCCAGGGAACACAGCAGGAGCTTAACACATGCTCATTGAACTTGAGCCTGATTGAGGCCCAAACCTTCCCACCCCCTCCCCCATCTCTCCTTCTGGATCTCTTGTTTTCCCAGGAAAACAGAGAACCCGGATCTCACACTTCTGCCTTCAGAGAGGGGCTGTTTTCATTTCTGCAATGTGCACAGACATTTGGGGATGAAAGATGCTATTTCAAAAGTGAGCTGTGAAATGCTGAAATTAGAATTGGACGGAAGGTGGCAAGCAGTGAATTCTCAGTGTACATCAAGGGCACAGGGCACGTAGCTCAGTACCCTTGGCAGAGGGCAAGGGCACTCACAGGCACCGAGGAACCACCTTCTGGTGCATTGGGCACAGTTTCCCTATCTTTTTTTTTTTTTTTTTGAGAGTCTTGCTCTGTCACCCAGGCTGGAGTGCAGTGGCGCAATCTCGGCTCACTGCAACCTCTGCCTCCTGGGTTCAAGTGATTCTCCTGCCTCAGCCTCCTGAGTAGCTGGGATTACAGGCGCGTGCCACCACGCCTGCCTAATTTTTGTATTTTTAGTAGAGACGGGGTTTCACCATGTTGGTTAGGCTGGTCTCAAACTCCTGACCTTGTGATCCGCCTGCCTCGGCCTCCCAAGGTGCTGGGATTATAGGCGTAAGCCACGGCGCCCGGCCAGTCTCCCTGTCTTTGCAAAAACCCTGGGAGATGAGGCTTCATCCTCACTGAACAGATGAGAAAATGGAGGCTCGGTACCATGAGGTCCATGGGAGGGGCCCCGGGCTGGGGGGCCGCTTTATCTTCTTATGCCACACAGCCTGGATTACTACGTCTCTGTCTCTGCCGCTGTCTGTGTCTCTCTCCACAAATGTAACCCAGAGCTCTAACCTTCCCGTGGGTCTTGGCACCAGCGGCCACTGATGTTCTTTTGGGGGACAAGATTGCTGTGCTTGCCCACCCTCCCTGTAGGCCAGGGCTAAACCTTCCTGTGTCCTAGGCCCGCACAAGTGTGGCGTGACTGCCCACCACGATTGTTTCTCAACCATCCAGTATCAGGCAGACAGCAAAAAACGGGCTTTTCTCCTAAAGGGCTTTGTTCCATGTGCATGAACCTATTCGGAGTTCCATGTGGTCAACACTCCTTTTCTCAAATGGTAGAAATCAGTAATTCCTTCTTAGTGCAAAGGTGGCAGCCCCCTGCCTCTGAGGATACCGAAGCTTACTGCCCTCCAGCCTTGGCATCCAGGCAAGCAGATCTCATTCTGCAGCCGCCACTGTGCCAGGTGCTTTGCTGAGCCCTGGGCTCCGACTTTGACTGTCTAGTATAGAAGCATGCGGCAGCCTGACTTTGAGCACTGTGCAGGGGCATGGTGTGTCTGCATAATCGGAAGCCTCGAAGGGTGGCCGTGATGGGTCAGGAATGTTCAAGAGTCCAGCTAGTATCATGGGCCAGCTCCAAGAACGAGCCTGGGAAAGGAAAACTTGGAATTCTGGGAACTCTGCACAAGGACTGGGGTATTTTCAAACACGGATCAAATGTCTGTGAACTCCAAGAATTGGGAGCTCGTCTGCATTGGGATCTGTGCTTTCAAAGGTTAAAACAATCTAAAAATGAGAAAATGGAGTGGATCAGTGCATAAAGGCAGTGGGCTGTGGCTCTGTGGCCTTCACTAGACTCTGGCTGTGTAAGGACGAGTGTTCCAGGGCCTTAGCGCTCTCCTCCAGCAGCAGTGGGCAAGGGCCACACTGTGAGGGAAGACTTCTGTGTTCCACAGTTATGAAGAACTCACTTCTAGATATTCTGCTGTTCTCAGTACCCTGTCACTACTCCCTGATGCTGGCAGTGTGTGTGTCCATGAAACACCACAAACACCTCCTCCCAGTGCTGCCCTGAGAGACTGATTGTATTGGCCGAAGTGGAGCCCTGGCATCAGTGCCTTTTTAAAGTTCCCTAGTGATCCTGTGTGCAGCCAGAGGAGACATGGGGCTGCCAGCTGTGGCGGGAGGATCCCCACCACACTCAGGAACCGCAGGAAGGCTCTGTGTAACGGGATGGTGTGCAAGTGCCAGCCTTGCAGGCGCTGCTCCCAGGTCAACCCACCTGCCTGCTGGGGCCCACACAGCCTTCTCAGGGACATGACTGTTTTATGTAAGCCAGCTTCCTACCCATTCCCTGACCAGATGGCTCAGAGCCAAGAAAAGGCCCAGGGACCCAGCACCTCAGCAGTGCCTGCCACAGAGGTGAAAGCAAGAGACCACCCAGCATCCACACCATTTCGTCCAAGCCCACCACCAGATTTCTCATTGTGCCACCATTTGTGTTTTGGGGACCCATCACCTGATTCTGCAGGGACCTGGGCCTGGAGGTGCCAGTCCATCTTCAGGATCAGTCATTTGTGAAGACAGACTTACCTTCATCCTTGAACATATGTTTCTGCTGCTGGCACCTCTTAACCCAAAACTTTTATACCAAAAAGTGACAAGGCCTCTACTTCCAGGCTCTGGAGAAGATGCTGACAGCTTAGGCTGTTGGCGCCTCAAGGATCAGCGCAGCTTGAGCCATCCTTGAAGTGGTTTCACAGAGGTTGGGGAAGGGGGAACAGAGAGCCAGAGAGAGAGCCTGCCTCCAGGAGAGAATTACAGCAAGCCCTATTCTGTCGTCTCACCCAGCAAGCCTGATTTTCTTCCTCCATGAACAGTGGAACTTTTTGCAGTTAAAGTAAGCTTTTAAGAAAAGAGCTTCGTAGGAAAAAAAAAAAAAGAGGAGAGCCACTTCCTGAGAAGTATTTGCTTTAGAAAATGAACAATGCAAGGGGCTGGTCCCTGGAGGGAAGGAAGTGATTCCTGGCAGCTGAACGCCTCACCATCCCCTTCCAGGTACAAAAAGCCAAGGACTGGGAGGCCTCCCCGTCCTATGGCTGTGAATGATCTATTGCTGAAAGCGCAAACAGGAGATGTGGGGAGAGCACATCCTGCTCAGGAGTGGAGGCAGAAGGTGACTTCCACTGCATGCATCCAGCTGAGCGCTGGCTGCCCAAGGACGGAAGGGACAAGCAGCCACCCTCGCTCCCCTAAAGGAGCTGCTGCCAGCAGGTTCAGGATGAGGGAATGTGCCTAAGAGGACAAGCTTGTAACAGTAAAACTCCCGTGGCTGATGGTGTGCATGAGGCACTGGTGTCCCGGCGACAATAACTGGTTGTTCCATCACGAATGTAGATGGAGGAACACGCCCTCCAGGAAGGCCTGGTGTAGATTCTGCAGACTTTTCCCAGTGAATGCGCACACAGGTGTGTCCTGGCACTAAATCCCGAGGAATGCCACCCCAAGAACAGAAAGGTCTCAGTGCATAGATGGCTGCTGAAGCCCTGGGTGCAAGTTACACCACAGAGAGTGTGCAAAGAGGCAGGAGGGGACCCGGGTGGATACACCATTCACAGGAAAGGTGCAGAAAGAGAAACCCATGAAGGAGACTTCTAGAGTCCTGGGATTCCCTTAAAACGATCTGTAACTCCCTGTCTTCCCAGGAAGATGGAACCGCCTGTACTGTTCTGTTCCTTCAATCCAGTTGGCGTATGGTAGCGGGCACAGCACACCCATCCCAACATCCCAGGGCCTCCCTGCTCAGTGTGGTCCTCAAACCAGCAGCGCCAGGGGCTCCAGGGCCACCTGGCTTCTGGGTCAGGATCTGTAGCTTCACAGGGCTCCTGGGCATTCATGTGCGTGGTGAAGTCTCAGGGGCTGGCAGTGTGTGTGTCCATGAAACACCAGAAACACCTCCTCCCAGTGCTGCCCTGAGAGATTCTGATTGTATTGGCCAAAGTGGGGCCCTGGCATCAGGGCCTTTTTAAAGTTCCCTAGGGATCCTGTGTGCAGCTAGAGCAGAAGTGCCTCTGACAGGCACTGGCTAGGATGGAGGTGTACACGTCCCTGCAGGGCAAGCTGCCCTTTCAAAGGAACCACCATAAGAGATGTTTGCATAGCCCTGATCTTCAGCTCTTTTTCTAAACCTGCATAGTAAGTTCCAAGCCATATTTCTAACAAGACTCAATTGTGTAGAGGCAAATATTTTAATGATAACTTCATGGCTTAAAACAAATTAGGTGTTTAGCCTCTTCCCCATAAAAGCCCCAAGAAAGAGGAGAGCTGCCATGCAGGGGCAGGATGTTTTGAACAACTGCAAAAGAGATCCCCTTTCCCTGCTGCTCTTTTAAGATTTGTTGATTTCATGAGCCTAATCTCTCCTGAAGGAGGAAAGGGTAGGATGGGAGGAGAAAGAGCTAAGCAGAGGAAGTGGGTTGATTGTGCATGAAGGAAAGCAGAACGGTTGAGCAGGGGCCATTGAGGCGGCATGACGAGGAAGCAGTGGGGAAGGAAGGAGTCATGGCAGGTCCCGCACCCAGATGGATCACATTGTCGAGGTCGACCAGATGACTGCTGCTCCTGCTCTCCCACAACCTCCATCCTGAGCTGTGAGCACACCAGGGAAGCCTCAGAGGGGAGTTGCTCACCCAAAAAGGACGTGGAATCCAAAACTTTAACATTCTTGATGCCTTTTCCATCAAGTGTTTCAAAATCCTCGAATAGTCCTACAGGAGCATTGAGAGAGCCTTGGATCCAGCTCAGGAGAGAGGAGCCCCTGCATGGCTCCCCCATTGAGGTGAGACCCCCCGCACCTGCCCCATGACCCTGGTGAAACCAGGTTTGTGTAACCACAGAGCTCCCAATTATGCCAGCTCAACCCAGACCCCAGGGGTCGTCGCCTGAGGATAATTTGGGGCCAAAACCCATGACAAATGGCTACACAGTCACTAGACCCCAACCCCGGAAGGGACAGGCGATGAAATGGAGAAACCAGATTTGGAGACGCGAAGCAGGCACATTTGGATTTGAACTTTGATTCTGAATCCTCGAGAAAGTCTATGATCTCAGTTTCTTCACCTGTAAGACAGGGATAATTAAACTAACTCCGAAGGGATGCTGGGAGAGCTGCATGAGACTCAACCGCTCTGCAGCAGGTCCCTAACTCTCTTCCTGGCTTCTGGCCCTAAGGAGAGGCCCAATAAATAGGTGTTGGTTGACTGAATGAATGAGCAAATGTCATTCAAAGTAGAGACTTCAGGAAAAGCACGTGACGTGCAGCTTTGCAACAAATGACACAGTCATCCACAAATAGGGCAACTGTCCCACAGCTGAAGTCAACATCTTGATGAGCAAGAGGCTTGAGGGGCGTTCCCGATGCACCATCACGCCTGTCACTTTAAATACTAGAGACAGGCACAAATGCCTTTATTGATCCAGAAGGTTTTAATGGCTCCCTGTGATCATTTCTAAGTGAATTTCACTTCTGCCAGTGAAAGCCTTGCCATGAGGAAGGCAATTACAGATGCTGTTTCCTAAGTGGCTCCCACAGGCTGACCTGTGCGCAGGAGGCTAGGACTCCCCACCTTCCGTGGGACAGCACTATGACAAGGGTCATAGGACGGCCATGTGGGGGACACAGCAGGTACCCTCAGGGTTGCCCCAGATTTTCTTGAGAGTGAGAGGACACCTTAAGGCAGCCATAAAACAGAAAGTGCTGTGCCCCTTTCCCAGTGACCCTTGCTGGGAAGGCCAGGACATTTGTTTCCTGATAGATCAGGGGCTCAGCAAAGATGTGTGGCAGGAGGCTTGCTAGGAAGACAGCTGATTCCTGGAATAACAGGTGTCTAGAAAGCCCAACACCCAGCTATTAGAGAGCAGGTGCCCACAGGACAGAGGTGAACTAACCCCCACGGCAGCTCATTGCTGCTGCCCAAAGGGCCAGTGCATGGCTAAGTTCCGGGATCCTGGGTCCAAATTCACCTGAAGCTTGAAAGAGTGGCCATGTTCCACTTGTTTCCCCTCCCTCCCTGCAATCTCCCACTGCCCCAAGGGCCTTCTGGATTCTATGGCTAAAAACAGATGAGTGACATTCAGATGGGAGTGGGCTCCATTAAGGGAAGCTGATTTCAGGTGTGTTTTGGGGTGAAAGGGGGTATCCTGGCATGCTAGCTGGTCTGAGCTGGTGCTCAAGCTGACTCGAGCAAGACATTTGGCCTCATTTCCTTGTCTGTAAATTGGGAATAATTTCCCCTCCTTCCAGGGCGGTGCTGGAGAGGAATGGAGACAATGCATGTCAGGCACCGAGTGCTGGGCTCCCAGGGGCAACCCCCTTCTCCCTACTGGGCGAGGTGCCCTTCTTGGCGGAGAGTGGGAGTATCTTGAAGCACTGGCTGACTCCTGCACCCCTGCCCCAGGAACCCAAGGGACAACCTTGGCAACAGGGAGAGGTCATTTAGAATGATTACTCTCCTGGTAGGCTGAGACCCCCATCCCTCAAGCTTAGCCCAGAGGGATTTTTCTCTTCTAAGAGGCTCCCAGAGAAAGGAGGGGCCCTGCAGCCTGCAGTTGCTCCTGAGTGCTGTCCCAGACAACTAAGGGTGGGAAATCCCGAGGGGCACCTGGAGCTTTACACTCTTCCAGCTGGGGGGCCACAGTTCCACCTCTGTACCCAGGCACGAGCCGCGAGCCATGGTGAAAAACCCCACAGAGTGACCTCACAAATAGCCAGATTTGTTCAGATGCATGGAGTTTTTGTTTCTGAATTTCTGCTGCTACCACTTTGCGAAACCACTTTCTCAGCAGAGACAATGTTTGGGGCCCCCCCATCCATCCTCATTGTCTCATCTCCAGGCTAAATATATCCCAGCTTGTTGAAAACCAGCATCCACATAAGAACCAGATGGTGGCGAGATTTAGGAGGGTGGGGGTGATCTGGCGTTCTCACATTGCAGGGGGTGGGGGCTGGCCGTCTTCCACAGGCCAGACTGTACTCACAGACTGGGCATCTCACGCTGCCCCTTACTAACTGGGGGAGTTGCTCTAGAAGGTGCCTGGTGCTGGGAAACTGTTGAATGGCTTGATGGATTGAACACTGTCTGAGGAGTCAGGAGGCTGGGACTTGACTGTGCTCTGCTACCACTCACAGCCACACTCAGGGAAGCCCCTCAGCCCCACCACCAAACAGATTTCCCAAACAGAACGCTAGAGGGAGGAGGTGGGCTCTAGGAATTGTTCCATCATTGAGGCTCATAAGAGCAAACAACTGGAAATGACCCCAGGGCACCCTCCTGAAACCAGGACCTATCCCTGCAGTGGGACCCTTGGTAGGTCCTGATGGGGAAGGAGCACCAAAAGGTTGCTAAGCAAAACCACCAAATAAAACCCAAAACCCACAAAAACAAACACACCAACCAAAACAACAAAAGCAAACACAGAGTACCCCCGACATGCATGGAGCAAGCTCCCATTTGTGTGAAAAAGAAGAACAAATGGAGTGAGCGTTGACGGGAGTTGCAGAGACTCTCGCTGGTACCATGGGTTGCTGCCCACGCCAACCGGGAGAGAGACTCTCCCTGCATCCTCCTTCATATCTTTTGAATTTTGAACCATAGAAATGTCTTATTCTTAAAACTTTTAAATTACATTAAAAAATAGATCCTGTGAGACTTTCAGGAAGGTTGTCAGACCAGACTAGAAAATGTGCCAAGAGTGATGAAGCCTTCCAGGGGCAGGGTGGACGAATGCATCATGGACTTTGTCAGCCAAAATTGCCAGAGATGCAGGAGCAGCAACAGATCTCAGGGAGGGGAAGCTGGGCCCTCAAGTCTGGGGCAAAGGGAAACCTCATTTGTCTTGGTTAATAAGAGGAGACCTGTGTTCCCCCAGGGGCAGCTGGCTCCGAATGTCACAAGGTGATCTATTAGCACAAGTCTTTGAAAGGTCACAGTGGTGGCCTTGCCCAGAAGTGCCCCCTCCCCTGGTCGGTATAGAGCCCAGGGGGCTCTGGGAGGAAACCCTTGTTGGTCCCACCTCCAGGCCCAGCTGCCAGGTCCCCCTGGTGCACTTTATCTGAAAAGTCCTGTGGGCCCTGGCTTTTCTGTAAGGGAAAACATCCATTGCAGAAACATCCATTTTCTTCCCTGGGGAAATATCCTAGATGGGGAGTGGGCAGCCCTGGATTCAAACCCATCACAAGGGCTGCACAATCCTGGCCAGCCATTCATCTTTCCTAAGCCCAGGTTTTCCCATCTGGAAAGTGCTGCTACAACCTGCTCCTGGGCTGGAGAGGAGTTAAATGAGACAATGCCTGGGAGAGCACAGTGCATGCCTGGCATTGGCTGAATTTTGCAGACCTGCATATAGCAAATCCCATGGAACGCAGCGGGAACGCCCCTGCTGCTGAGTCTGGGCCTGCTTATTCTACTTAGATAATTAGAACCATAGTCACGGGAGATGTTGAGTAGGTCATGTCTCCCCCCAATCGCACGTTTCAATGATGAAGAGGTAGTGCACATCCGGGCATTGTGATGCTAAGGGACCTCGATCACTCTGTGACAGAACCCTGGTACTGTCCCACACAGCACTGAACTTCATTCATGATAGTCAATTTCAGTAAGTCCGTGATTTCCTTAAACTGGAGTAAAATTCAAAGGAGATATCATCCATCTCTCTCGCAAACTAAGTAAATCATCGTTCTCTGGCTAAACTATCAGATAGTCCCTGATTTCTCTTTTGCCAAGCCGAGCCCCATTTCAGATGGCTGAAATTTTCTGTTTTTAATTGAAAGCCTGTCTCTAGAGCCAGGAGCAAGTCTGTGGTCATGGGCTGAAGGAAACCCTTTGAGGATGTTGTTATAAGGTTTCATTCCCTGTACTGTGTTGAAGAGAGTGCGGTGGGGGAATAAGAGCTAATGTCATTATTTAAATGATCCCACAGTTCATAGGGTAAGCCTGTGGGTGACGGCTGCCCAGTGCACCTGGCCCCATGACCTACTATCTCACCTCTTTCTCCTTTGAGAGTCTCCAGAACTGACTCAGGAGGCAGCAGCCCCTGCCCAGCACTGGGGTGAGACTGAGGATTCCTTGTGGATACGTGGGGTTGGGATTCTCCACCCTCACTGCGGCTATGTATCTACCTTAAGCCTGATGCCCCCAAGGCCGGGTCTAAACTGATACCTTGTCAACAAGCCAGAGTCACAAGCAAGCCGCCCTACCGAGGCCACTGGTTTCATCTCCTTTCTCGGGGAGAGAAGGTGCCTGCTCCACCTCTAGGTATCATTTGTTGGTTCATTTGCCTTGGCAAAAGCAGCCCAGAGTCCCAGTACCTACAGGGTATATCATTCCTATGGGTCATTCCAACCAGAAAAACAAAATCACGGATCCCTAACAGTCAGAGGTCAAAAGTGCCCGGGGCGGAGGAGCGCGGCAGTGGATGCGACTCCATACTGCATGCAGTTAGGAGTGCCTGCAGTTCCACTCACTGTTCACTTTCTGCTGAAGTTGGCAAATAATCAGTGAAAAACAGCCCAGGCCTTGAGTGTGACTTGTTAACAAACGTGACTTTGCTGGACAAATAACAAGTCTAACCTCGTCTCCTTTTAAAATTCATCAATAAAACATGCACAAACAGGAAGGCATTGTCTTTTTGTCTTGGGGGAAAATGGCACCTGCCTTTAGAAATTACAGAACCCCGGTGGCAACAGTGTTGGATATTTGTCCAACCCCTCACGCAATAGTGTCTGAGGTCCAAGGATGGCCTTTGGTCTTTTTACATAGACTCAGGCTACAAATGGAAGACCCATGTCCCGGGGAACCTGTAGGAATTGTACAGACTGGAAGGTCCTTTTACCTTGAAAGTTGTTGCAGATTCAGGATTGGCAAGAACCAGAGGCGAAATGAGTACCATGCCGGCGAAGTGGCCCGGCCTCTCTGCGGCCGTGAGGATGGCGATGGCGCCTCCCTGTAATGCAGAATGGGCAGAGCTGCTGTGTTCGGCTTGCACCAGTGCACACATTTCTAATAAACATGACCAATGCAGTCCTCTTAAGCTGCAGTCCTGGCCAAGAGCCCTGAGGAGGACTACCTTGGAAGAGGCACCATCAAATGTTGGCTAAACTAGATCTGCAATTATTTTATTATACATGTTTTTTTCTCTGGGTTTTCCAAGAGCAAACATTTCAGAGAGATATAAATAAGGTTCCTGCTTGTGGGCCGCAAGTTAAACAATAACACATTCCCACTTCATTTCAAGCCCAAAGCTGGCAAAACCCCAATTCATCCATCCCGACAGGCTTAATAGGAGGGTTTTTTTTTTTTTTTTTTTTTTTGGTGGGGGGTAATCTGATCATAATAATAGATTGCTATACTATACTTTTTCCTGGTTTAGTAAAGGTCCTAGAAATTTAAATTCCAAGAAAAATGGGAGTGAACGTGGATGGTGCTGAAGGAGAGAGGCCTCACCTGTTTGCTGAAGCACAAAGGTGCTTAAAAGCAAGGGTTGCAACCGCAAATGCTCACGGGGCTGGGCAGGTAAGAGAAATGTAAGGACAGAGCCAGGCAGTGACCATGGGGCAGGAGGCAAGGCCTGCCCTGGTCAGATGTCCCCAGGCCTTCAAATTCAAGCAGTTCAATATATCTTGGTCAGCCAACCAGCCTGCTTTGTCTGTAGGTAGATTTGGCCTGTGGGCTGCCAGTTTAAGGACCCCGATTTAAGATTACATTTGCTCGATTACATTTTAAGATTATATTTGCTCAATTTACATATTTAAAAGGTGGAAGGAGTTGGAATAAGCTTTAAGGAATTGTTTCCATGTGGACCCTCTGTCCCTAGTTAACATTTGTCATCTGAGTTCAATTCTGAAACAAGCACACAGGGTTTGGGGACATTTCATGTGCTTCTTATTGATGAAGGAGCTATTCCCCCCTCCAAGAAGTGGCTCTTAGCAGCCTCACTATGAAATGGCACCAAGTGGGCCAAAGAACGTTGAGAAAAAGATCAGTTTTCCAAGAGGCCCCGTATTCAAGCTGCTCACTAAGGACCGGCTGGCAGCCTCCCTTGTTTCCTAAGCACGGAATTGCCCAGGAACTCCAAGTGCAGTGCACAAAGGGAGACATCATGCCAGCCAGGCAGAGAGCAGTGGGGGGCAGGAAGTCAGGGCCACCCCCTTCCCCCTGCAAGGCTGGAAGCCAGGGTGGATTTAACCTGGGTCTTCTGTGGTCTGCTTACCATGGAGTGGCCCAGAAGGAAGACAGGAAGCCCAGGGTAGTCTTTCTGCATGGAATCCACATGCTGCAACACATCCCTGACGAAAACGTGGAAGTCAGACACTACCATCCTCTCCCCTTCGCTCTGTCCGTGGCCAACTGGAAAGGAACGGGAGATGAGAGAGAGCTGCAGTTACCAGGTCGACTCCTACACAAGCCCAGAGTTCTCCTCACTGCAATCGCTCTCTCTCCTGAGCGCCTGAATGTGTCACCTCATTTAACCCTTTCCAGCCACTCTTGAACGTTGGAATTCTTCTCCCCACTTTTTATGGATTAGGAAACTGAGGCACAGAGTGGTTGAGGAATGTGCCCAAGATCACACCACTAGGAAGCAACGAGCCAGGGTGTACCTACTACAAAGGCTCCCTTGGGGGTGGTTTCCAAGGAAGGGAAAAAGCACAGGTACACAGAGAGCCTCAGCATGCCCAGTGTTCTGCAAAGCAGCCGGGAGTAAGACGAAGAAGGCTCAGAATTTTCCTGCATTTTCCCTGTTCCTTGCCCCTGGCAGCTGTGCCTGAATATTGGCCTTTCACTAGGTAGAGTGGTACACTCAGCCCCTCATCTTACAGTTTTAGGTGAAGATAATATGACAAACATAAAATAATATGTAGTCATCGGGTGTGCTTGCCAGAAAGCGTCTCGACGAAGCTGCAGTGAAACTAGGTCACATTCTCTCCCTCTTGAGTTTAATCTGTCACATATCTGTGCTGTTCACCCCCTTGTTCTTTCCTTAGGGCCCTCCACTTTCTCCCTCTTTGAAGGACATCAGTCGCTATAGAAACAACTCACTGGCTGTGGCTTCACATTCGGGCTGAAAGCAGCTGTGATGGTTTGAAAATGGCAAAAAAGAAAGCGCTTCTGGAGAACTGGGACCACACAGCCAGAGGGGCTGCCCAGACCTTCCCTGCTGAGAGCCTGAAGCACTCATTAAGCCTCTGCCACCTCTGGGGAGGCTGCTGCAGTAATAACGGTCACCACCTGGAACTGACAGGCTGCCCAGACCTCCAGCTTGGAGACCCTCCTGCTGTCAGGCCCCAAGCTCCCGTGTTTCCCACTGGCCCTTCCCCCACACCCACCTTCCCAGTCGCCCCCCCACGGTCTGTCTGACCATCCCAGTGGGCCCGGGAGTCCCACTACCCTCTCAGCAGCACTCCCCCTTTCCTTGCCCTTCTGAGCTTTTTTCTCTTTTAAAATTTATTTTTACTTTTTACTGTGCTATCATATCCGTAACATAAATCGTACTGTTTGAACCATTTTTAAATGTAAGGTTCAGTGGCATCAACATTATTGTGCAACCCTGTACTTTTTCACCTTCCCACGCTGAGACTACATACCAATTGATATGGGTTGACTTGTGTCCCCCAAATCCATATGTTGAAGCTCTAACCCCCAGGATCTCGGAATGGGACCTTATTTGAAGACAGGGTCTTAAAAAACATGACTAAGTTAAATGAGGTCCTTAGGGTGGGCCCTAATCCAAATGACTGGTGTCCTGTAAGGAGAGGGGATTAGAACCCAGACATAGAGGGAAGATTATGTGAAGATGCAGGGAGATGGCAGCCATTTACAAGGCAAGGAGAGCCTGCAGGAGAAACCAACCCTGCTGATGCCCTGATCTTGGACTTCCAGCCTCTGGAACTGTGAGACAATAAATGTCTGTTGTCGAGGCCCCAGTCTGTGGTCCTTTGTTATGGAAGCCCTGGCAAACTCATACTAGCTATTAAACCCCAACTCCCCTTTCCTTCTTACTCTCTCTTCCCCCACACCCCTGGCACCCTCTACTCCACTTTCTGCTTCTATAAATTTGACTACTCTAGGGACTTCATTTGAGTGGAATCAGGCCATATTTGTCTTTTTGTGTCTGGCTTATTTAATGTAGCACAGTGTCTTCAAGGTGCATCCATGTAGTCGTGTGTGTCAGAATTTCCTTCCTTTTTAAGGCTGCAGCATATTCCATTCTGTGGATGGACCATGTTGTGTTTATCCATTTGTCTGTCGAGGGACATTTGGACGGTTCCCACCTTTTGGCTATTGTGAATGATGCTGCTGTGAATATGGGTGTGCAAATATCTCTTCACATCCCAGCTTTCAATTCTTTGGGGTATATACCCAGAAGTGGGGTTGCTGGGTCAGATGGTGATTCTGTGTTGAATTTTTGAGGCATGACCCCGCATTTCCATGTGGAACATCTCTCTGGATGCAGCCGCTGCTCCTCCACACTCTAAAGCCTGAGGGCTGGCTGCACACAAACGCTGAGCCAAGGCAACACCAGGGCTGCCCAGTGTCAGGCTCCCTCTTCCCACAGGCTTGGTCTCCAAACAAGCTCATCTGGGCATCTCTTCCGTATGTTTCTATTCTCCCAAAACTTGCAATCCTACCTCACAACCCTGGGGACGTAGTATCACTCATTTTTTTGAAAACATGGGGACAGTCTAAAATGGCCCTCTACGTTGGAAGCATCCCCCTTTCTGATTCCGACCACTCCTGGCCCAGCCTGCTCCCTGTGCCAGCTGCATCCCCATCCTCCCTCCTTCATCCACAGCCCCCAAGCTGCCCTCTTCCCCTCCCTCCTTAAGGGGTGGTCCACACTCATGGCCCTTTTCCCACCTACATTCTCTCTCCAGCCCTGGAGGCTCCGTGCGACCCTCAGCTGAGTCCACCCCAGTAAGCCTTTACCCCATCCTCTTCCGAGATCTTGGCTCACTCAGCACCACATGCTCCTGCTGACTTTGTCATGGGGTGCACTGGAAATGGACTTCCTTGGCTCTCCTCCTTCTCATCTGGCTGTGTTTTCTTTTTCTCTTTTCCTTCCTGGCTGATTTCTGTATTTATTCCTTCATTCAATCATTTTTAATTAAAAAATTGCATTTTAAAAGACATTTGATTCACATGGTACAAAATCAAAGTGGCATGAAAGATGTACACTGACGGTCCCTTTCCCACTTCCTCCCATCCACCCGATTCCCTATCTTCCCCTAAACTCTTCTCTTAGTGTCTCAGCCTCTTTACAAGCAAATACAAATATAAATCCTAATTTTTACCCCGGTCCTAAACACAAAGAAACACACAACAGATCCTGCTCTGTGTAGGGCTTCGTTCACTTGACACCATATCCTGAAGATCTTCCAACGTTTGAAATAGGGCTCCTCCCCAGCTTCTTACTACAAAACTTTCAAATGCACAAAAACACTGAAAAAAACATTCCAATAAAAACCCATATGCCTACTATCTTTATTCAACAGTTGTTATTTTATTTGCTGTATACATACACATTTATGAATATAAAAATGGCTGAATCTTTTAAAAGTAAATTGCAGGCTGGGCAAGGTGGCTCACATCTGTAATCCCAGTGCTTTGGGAGGCCAGGGTGGAAAGATCGCTTGAGGCCAAGAGTTCACAATTGGCCTGGGCAATATAACAAGACAGACCCTGTTGCTAAAAAAGAATTTAAAACAGAAACTGGACATTGGTGGCGTGGTGGTGCACACCTGTAATCCTAGCTACTTGGGATCACTGGAGCCCATGAGGTTGGGGCCGCAGTGAGCTGTGCTCGCACCACTGCTCTCCAGCCTGGACAAAAGTGAGACCCTATCTCAAAAAAAAAAAGAAAGGGAAAGAAAGAGAAGAAACAGAAGAAAGAGAAAGAAAGCAGGAAAGAAAGAAAGAAAGAAAGAAAGAAAGAAAGAAAGAAAGAAAGAAAGAAAGAAAGAAAGAAAGAAAAGAAAAGAAAGAAAGAAAGACAGAAGGAAGGAAAGAGAAAGAAAGAGGAAGGAAGGAAGGGAGGGAAAGAGAGAGAGAAGGAGGGAGGGAGAGAGGAAGGAAGGAAGGGAGGGAGGGAGGGAGAGAAAGAAAGAGAAAGAAAGAAAGAGGAAAGAAAGAAAGAAGGAAAAGAATGAAAGAAAGAAAAGTAAGTTGCAGATTATAACAACAGACAAATCTGGGTAAAGGATCTAAAGGTTTTTTATTTTTTTTTATTTTTTATTTTCTTTTTAGTAGGAGTCTCACTCTGTTGCCCAAGCTGGAGTGCAGTGGCGCAATCTCGGCTCACTGCAAGCTCCACCTCCCAGGTTCACGCCTCAGCCTCCCGAGTAGCTGGGACTACAGGTGCCCACCACCATGCCCAGCTAATTTTTTTCTATTTTTCAGTAGAGACGGTGTTTCACCATGTTAGCCAGGATGGTCTCGATCTCCTGACCTTGTGATCCACCCACCTCAGCCTCCCAAATTGCTGGGATTACAGGTGTGAGCCACCGCGCCTGGCCTACAGGGGTTCTTTATACTATTCTTGCAAACCTTCTGTGAAGTTGAAGGTATTTCTGAATAAAAAGTGTTATAAAAATAATCTATTAACTATTAAAACACTTCACCCTAAACACTTCAGCATGCTTAGTGACATTCTCTTCAAAACTACAATACTATTTTCCTGCCTAAGTAAATTAGCAATAGCTCCCTAATATCATCTAATATACAATCCAAATTCGAATTTCCCCATTGTCTCCAAGTATTTTACAGCTGGTGTTTTAGAACCAGGATGCAAAACTCTTATGCTGTATTTGTTTGCTATGTTCCTTTAGTCTTAGAGGGGCCAGGCTAGTAAATGCCTTACATCCTGTATCTGATTGTTTCCCGTCATGGTCTGTCATTTGACTTGTTTCTGTGTTCCCATTCATTACCAAGAACTTCCCCCCTTCCTCAACACAAATGTACTAGGCTCACCTTATAATTTCCTTGTCCCAGATTTGGAATTAACCATTTCTCCAGGGAGCCCCACTTCCTTTCAGTGTTTAAACATCAAGATTTAAAGTTGGGAGTGTCCAATGCCACCGAGGTGCCTTTGCTTTCATGCTCTTCATTAGGCAGAGCTGAAAAACTTAATTCTTTTTTTTTTACATGAGACTTAAGAAAACTTAATTCTTAAAAAATGAGTCCATATAGATATTTTCAACTATAAATCAATGTTCTGGCTAGGCGCAGTGGCTCATGCCTGTAATCCCAGCACTTTGGGAGGCCAAGGTGGGCAGATCTCTTGGGCCCAGGAGTTTGAGACCAGCCTGGGCAACTTGGCAAAACCCCATCTCTACAAAAAATACAAAAATTAGCCTAGCATGGTGGTGCACACCTGTAGTCCCAGCTAGTCAGGAAGTTGAGGTGAGAGAATCGTTTGAGCCCAGGAGGTCAAGGCTGCAGTGAGCCATGATCGTGCCACTGGGCTCCAGCCTGGGCAACAGAGCAAGGCTAAAAAAAAAAAAAAAAAAAAAAAAACAGAGCAAGAAATCAATGTTCTAAAGTTTTCTCTTACCTTCTTTGATTTTGTATTTTATCTCTTTTCTTTTACACTGAAAATCTTGGTTCCTAATAGCATTAACATATTTACTTATAGCATAGCGTCAAAATTACAATACCAATATTGCCACCAATAATAAGCCTACGGCAAGAAGCTAGAATTGCTTTGCATTTTTTTGTCTTTAGAATATAGTTCAATCATAATATGACTAGAGTATTGTGTTTGAAGTTTAAATTCTTACAAACAGGTTATAATTATTTTCTCTGTGTGCTTATGTTACTAATTTGATAATTAGATGCATTAACTTCAAATTAAATTTCTTTCCATTTGTAGGTTTTTCCTTCTTGCTTTTCAATTTAATTTTCTTTTCCAAATATGAAAACGTGTACTTGACACAACAGTCAGAAATATATTAAAAAATTCATCCAGTGAAGTCTCACTTCTACCCCATCTCCTCCATCTCCCCGCTCGTTCCCTAGCGTTAATCATTCTAATTATTTTCTGTTTTTTCCCTCTAAGCATTTCTTTTTGCAAAAATAAGAAAACTACCTGTTTATCCATCCATCCATCCATCCATCCATCCATTTATCCATCTAGTCTATCATCTATCTATTCTCTGTCTAATCTATTTATCCATCCACCCATCTATTCTTATTTTTCCTCCTTTCTTACTTAAAAGATAGTATGCCACATATCCTACTCTAGAAACAGTCTTGTCTATTTCTGGATTTCTACCAGGTTTTCTTTTCCTCACGTTTAACATATTCTGGAGGTCACTCTGTGTCACAGATCCCAGACCTGCCTCCATTCTGCCTTACTGTTGCGTAGTACGCCCTGTGGGGGTGAACCATAGTTTTTTCAAGCACTCTCTCATCGCAAAACACTTGGATTGTATCCAAGCTCTTATTTATTAAACAGTTGGCTGCGGTAGATAAACTTGGACTATTTTATGTCATCTGCATGATGTTGTATCTTCAGGGTATGTGCCTAGATGCAGGATTGCTTGGCTGAAATGTAAATGCATATGTAATTTTCGTAGGTATTACCAAATTCCCCTCCATGTGGGAGTGTCACCTTTCACTCTATGAGTGAGATGCGGGAGAGGGCCTCTTTCTCTTGGCATGACCAGCAGACTGTGTGTTTGACATTTAGGTTTTTGCTCATATGATAGGAGACAAAGTGTGGGTTGAACATCTCAGATTTTAAGAGCCATTACTTCTTTTTTGGTAAACTGAGTATTCATGTCTTTGCTCATTTTTTTCTATGGGGGTTTCGCATCTCTTCTTAACATTTAGGAGCTGTTTGTATATTAGTTGGTCATTTGTCTTTTGACTTTGTTTACATTGTATTTAGCCAAGCAGAAGATTCTTATTTTTGGTTTCTTTTGAGATTCTTATTTTTGAATAGTCAAGTTATCAATCTTTTCACTTTATGGCTTCTGAATTTTGATTCTTGGTGATAAAGGCCTTCCCCACTCCACGGGTATAAAGGAATTCAGCCATATTTTCTGTGACTTATATTTCTTTTGCAGTGAAATATACATGACCTAAAAAATTAACCACTTTAAATGTACAGTTTAGTGGTATTAAATACATTCACATTCTTGTGCAACCATCACCATCATCCATCTCTAGATAGTTTCATTTTTTTACATTCGAATCTTTGACCCATTTGAATTTTGTCTTGGTGTAGGGTAGGAGATACCCATCTTTTACCAGACCTTTTTTTCAATTCAGTGAAATTCACCTCACAAAAAATTAACCATTTTAAAGTGTACCGATTTAGTGGCATTTAGTATGTCCACAATATTGTTGCAACACTATCTATAAGAAGTTCCAAAATGTAGATGGTTTGTAATCGTCTCAGCAGAATTTATGAACAAGTCCTTCATTGCTTCACTGAATTGCAATGTCATCCTTATCATGTGTTAAAGTTCCCTTTTCACTCAAGCCCAGTCTATTTCTGGATTTCTGCTCAGCTCCACTGGTTTGCTTATTCATGAGCCAGCCCCCATATTATTGAGACATTATAGGAGCCTGCCCTTGACACACATTACATGCAGGAGGCCCCAGGTCACTCTGCGAGCTCTCCCTGGTCCAAGCGCATCACTCCCATGCTTTGACTCTGATGGTAATGTAGGCATCTCCTGGATAAACTGTTTCTGACTCTGGCTTCTTTCCAGAGCTACAGATCCATCCTGCCAACCTGTGGTCAGACTCTCCTGGCTGTTCCACAGCTCCTCAGATTGCTTGCAAATAATTGGCTCTCCTTCACATAGCGGTTAAAGGCCCTGTGAGCCTTCCAAATTATTCAGGCTCAAAACAGGGCTGTCGTCTTTGACTTTAATTCTATTTCTACATTCAATTGGTCCCCAAGTCCTTCTAGATTTCTGCATCCAGTCTCCTTCTTTGCATGTTATATCCCGGTAGGGGTGGAGACTGTTGCTGCCTTTGAACTTACAGTAGCTTCTTCTCCAATCTCCCTGCCCAACCCCAGGCTCTCCATGACCCACCTCCTCTTCCGGAAGCTGCTCTGATGGTGTCGTGGTCCGACGGCCCCCACTGTTTGAGAATGCAGCCTGCACATCCCAGCCCAGTATTCCCAGCCTCCCAGGAAGGCTTCTACTTGTTCCTCTGCCACAATCTGAGCCACATGCACACCCACCTGCCCACGGTTCCTGAAGCATACGCACACGTTCCTGCCCTGTGCCTCTGAACAGGCAGCCTCTCCTTGAGGTCCTCACCCTGCCCCAGTCCTTTAAGGCCCTTTAAATCCCTTCATCCATGGCATCCACTGTAATTCCCTAAATGCAGGTGCAGCTTCCGGAAGAGGAGGTGAGTCATGGAGAGCTTAGGGTGGGCAGGGAGATTGGAGAAGCTACTGCAAGTTCAAAGGCAACATACCCCTTCCATAACCCTGAAGCACTTCTTGCCCCTGTCACATGTGAGTTGATCACAGTCCTCCCTCGTTTTCTCCTCTAGCACCATCCCCCACCCTATAGATGGAGGGTCCTGAGAGCAGGGGTGCCACATGGCTCTGTGCTGCAGTGGCTTCTAAGGTGAGTGTGGCTGGATGGGGCGCAAAACAGTCCTGAGTGAACGATGATGTTTGTGTGGACTTGGGGAGGGAATGCACCGTGCATGTGCCCATGTCTGCCAGGGCCGTCTTGGAGAGCAAAGATCATACTTTATTCACCTGTGCATTCCCTAGGGTTCCTGGCACGGGCCTGGCAGAAGGTGGGTGTTTGATCAATGTCTGTTGAAATGAATTGTAGGCAGTGTTTCCATAATGGCCACTTACCAAAGAAACTCAATTCCATTACTCTAGCTATAGCTGATGCAATATGTTTCCTTGACCACCATGGAAACAGAGTTTGTTGAGAAGTAGTTTTGCATCTGTAATGAGAATTCTTTTTCTCCTGGTTTTATTTATGTATTTACACATTTGTTTTAGAGACAAGGTCTTGTTATGTTGCTCAGGGTGGATTCAAACTCCTGGGCTCAAGCAATCCCCTGCCTCAACCTCCCAAGTACTGGGACTACAGGCGCACACCACTATGCCTGGCTGCTCTCTTGGTGGCTTTTATTATTATTATTATTATTATTATTATTATTATTATTATTTTAAAGAACCCTGCTTTGCAGACTTTAAGATATTTTTAGTTTTGTGTCTCTATGTATTAACTATGTTTTTAAATTTGCTGTACTTTGATGCTTTAACATCTCAGGCCTTGCTGATCCTGGAAAGACAGTCCCACCCCATCATGGATGGGACTTCAATTGCCTTTATCAGACTCTCCCCGCTCCAGGCCACTGTCCCCCTGTCCTGATCACCTCAGGGCCAGGCAACAGACAATTAAGGACAGCCTTGCATCTGAGAGCCCTGAAATTCTTCAAACTAATCAATCCTAAACCTGCTCACTGCACCTCACCTGTTCTTCCCCTCGGAAGCCACAATAAAAGCCCCGGCCCACAGTTCCCTCTCCCTCTGGCCCCTGACCTGCCCCGTGCTCCCCTGCAGGGCCCTGCGTGGCATGCTTTGCCATCTGTTTCTAGGGACCTGTCAATGGAATAAACTTCTCCCCTCATGACAGTAATGTTCATGTCTGTGTGTCTTACCATATCCAATTAAAACAGATCCTAGGTACTCTTAAAACACCCCAGCACTGCATTCGATGCGAAGTATAATAAATTCGTGATAATCCTTTGTTGAATGATTAAATAGTCTCCTACAAAATATTTCTGTCTGAAAATAACTTTCCATGTTGTTACCATGTACAAAATGAGTCCCCCGGGAACCTATAGAACCCTGGTGATCCTGTTACTGCTGGAATGGGAAGAGCCAGCCTCCCCCTTCCCTTTTTTCAGGGAACCAGGCTTTCTTAGCATTCATTTTCTTACAGAAGAAAAAGCTGATAAAAAATAGCTTTGCGTAAGGAAAGTGAGACGAAGCCTTTAAAAAGTAGTAAAAACAGCACTTGGTATTTGTGTGAGAGTTCATAACGTACAAAGCACTTTTCCCAGAGTTTGTTTCATTTGTTCCCCACAAGCTTGTGAGGTAGGGATTCTTTCCCCATTTTCTAGCAAAGGAAACAGACCCTGGAGAGACTAAAGGGCAGCGCTCAGCCCCCAGTAGGTGAGCCACAGGGAGGGACTTGAGTACAGGGTGTGAACTCCAGACTCAGGGTTGTCACTCTCACAGCTCAGGGCAAAACACAGCAGGAAGCAGGGGACTGAAGATTGAGGAGGGAAAGAAAAGCCTTCTTAACAAGATAAAGAACCCGCTGTGTGAAAACACAGGGCTGGCATCTTCCCTACACGCCCAGACCCCAGGGCTTGTGCCTAGAGCTGCTCACCCCAGGTGAGTCCTGAGAAGGATCTGGTTCCGTGTCAGGCAGGGACAGGTGGTTCACACTCACCAGCACCTGCAGATGTGCAAACAGGGAGGCCACTGGGAAATGTTCTTCTGAAGACTTCACAAATTTCTAAGTGTGGGATACAATAGGAACAGAAGGGCTGGGCAGAGGCTAACCCTGGAAGTAACCACAACAAATGGCAGCCAATGTCCACTGGAGACCTCATGTCTATGAGGCCACCGAGTGCACTGACGGACACCATGACTGGGTCTCAGGAGGTTCAGTGACTTTTCCAGCCCAGGGCTGTCTGAGCAGAGCTGGGAGGAGCGGTGGGTGGAAGGAGGGTGAGAGTGCCAGAGGCGTTTGAACCAGAGCAACTCCATCTTGAACGGGGGCTGGGTAAAATGAGGCTGAGAGCTACTGGGCTGCATTCCCAGACGGTTGAGGTATTCTAAGTCACAGGGTGAGATAGGAGCTTGGCACAAGATACAGGCCATAAAGACCTTGCTGATAAAACCGGTTGCAGTAAAGAAGCCGGCTAAAACCCACCAAAACCAAGATGGCAACAACGGTGACCTCTGGTTGTCCTCACTGCTACAGTCTCAACAGCGCCATGACAGTTTACAGATGCCATGGCAACGTCAGGAAGTTACCCAGTATAGTCTAAAAAGGGGAAGCATGAATAATCCACCCCTTGTTTAGCATATCATCAAGAAATAGCCATAAAAATGGGCACCCACCAGCCCTCAGGCTGCTCTGTCTATGGGGTAGCCATTCTTTCATTCCTCTACTTTCCTAATAAACTCGCTTTCATGTTACTCTATGGACTCCCTCTAAATTCCTTCTTGCTTAAGATCCAGGAACCCTCTCTTGGGGTCTGGATCAGGACCCCTTTCTGGTAACAAGAGTGAGGGGGATTCAGGCCTGGGAGGCAAGGCAGATGCAGACCACTGGATGGGAGGAGAGGTGTCACTGTCTTGGGAGGACGTGGCCTGAGACCATGGTAAGGATGCTGGCCTCTACCTAGAGAGAGGGGAGGCTGAGGAGAGTTTTAGGCACAAGAGGGATGTTTGCATTTTTTAAAAAATGGCCTCATTATATCACTGTCTCCACAAGATCATTATAGAAAAGTCTTGTCAAAAGCTTCATCCACCAACTCCATGCCTCCCTGGGTAGAAAGGACCCTATGCAGCCATCGCTCTGACTTCCAGGGTTCAGAGGGAGAAGCTTTGCCTCTGAGCAGAGGGATGGAGTGGCTGGGTGCGCAGCTGCACCTGGGTGGGTGTGCTGACGTGGAGCAAGTCACTAAAGAGCCCAGTAAAGAGGGCAGGGCAGCCGAGCCCCTCCAGCCTGCCTCCCAATCGTACAGCGTAGAGCGTTGTGGCCCTGCAGAGGAAAGTGGGCGTTCCTTGCAGAGCAGGAGGCCCAGGTCTGAAGTAGAAAACCCTGCTGGAGCCTTTCCTGTGGTGGAGCCGGGTTGGTCTAAGGAGTCTAATTCTGGAGCCCACCCCCTTAACCCTGTGGGATCCATGGCTGCCTTGATGCAGCGCTGCTTTCCCTTGAATCTACCTTGACCGGGTCTCACTTTCATAACCAGAGGAAAGACGCAACATGTGTTACCCAAAATGCAGGAAAGTGGATCCAGGTGCTAACCTGGGACTGGTCTGGTCCCTCATCAGCTCAAAGAGGAATGCCAGCGAGGCCGGCCTAGAGTAAGGAGGCGTTGCCATGAGGCGCCAGGGCACCTGGCTCCCAGTATTCCATTTCACCATGGAAGCATCGCCCACTGCCTCTCCCATCAGGGGTCTGCAGTGCGCCCGTGCCTTCATTTACCCTAACTCTGAGCCCACACGCTCTCCACTGGGGGTTCGGCACAGACAGACATTTCTCCTCATTTCTCACCCCTGCTCCTTCGCAGGTGCCAACCACAGAGTGTCTCCCTGACCCTCCAGAGTGGCTGCACAGGGGCCCTGCAGGATTTGCTAGCCTGCCAAAGAAACCAACTCCATTAAAAGATGAAAGAACACATTTGAAAAAGGGCTCTTATCTTGGCTCTGTCCCAACTTGACAGCCCCCAGGTGAAGAGATCCAAGGACCAATCCACCTTTCCACAGGCAGTTTATTCCCCTCAGCCCAGCAAATGCCTTCTCTCTGGATTTTCCTGGTCATCTCTCCTCAGGTGACTAAGCCAGCCAGTCATGGCAGGCACACGGGCTGAGGCTCTGGAGAGATGGGAGCCCCTGACTGTGAGGAGGACAGACACTTCCTTCCCTTACAATTTGGGTGTCTGCCCTGCATTCCTGGCCAACCCACAGGAAGTCAGCCAGCATCAGAAAGGAGGAATCTTACAGAATGTGTGGTCAGGGCAATAAGACAGACGATCACTGTGGGGCCTCTAGCCTCAAGAACCACACAACAGACCCGGAGGAGCCCGACGTGGGAGTCTTGGCTCATTCAGACCCAAAGGAAGAATTAAAGTCATTTGTTGATGAACACCAGAGTGGAACAAGCCTTTGTTTTAGGAGCAGAAAGGAAGAATTGCCTTAGTCCCCATTTTTAGATCTAAAGGAAGTCATAAACTCATATATGCTACAACAGGAGGGAGAGAAACTAGTACAACCCCCTTGGGAAAACAATTTGGTATCCGGTAAGGTTGAATTTCCTTACTTTACAACTCAGCAATTCCACACCAGGATATATGTCCAAGAGAAGCTCTTAGACACAGGAATCGGACTGTTCATAGCAGCCCCGTTGTTATAACTAGAGAATGGATACATTGTGGCAAATGGATTATCACACAGTAGTGAAAAGCAAATAAACTAGAGCTGCACAAAGCAGCACTGATGAGTCTTAGAAAAGAAACACAAAGTGAAGAAAGCAAATCACAGAAGACTGAGTAAGTATGACTCCATTTTATAATGTTAAGAAAACAAGCAAAAGCAAATATACATATTTTTAGAGACTCATACTTATGTGATAAACACATAAAATAAAAAAGCAAGAGAATGAAACACAAATTCCAAGATTGTAGTTACCTCCAGTCACCTCCTGTCTACTCATCAAGTTGTTGGGGGAATAAATGAAACAGCTGAACATACCTGGCAAAAGGTGGGTTTCCAGCACGTGCTCGCTCCCCGCCTTCTCCCATTCCCTCCCTTTGTATGGTTTCAGAGGAGAAAAATGTATAAATTCTGGCATTCTCTTGGTGCTCGCATCCTTCCAGGGGAAGATCCTTCTGAATCTAGTCTGCATCTCTCCCACTTACAAGGATTTTCTCCTGTTCAGCTCTGCAAAGAGATGGGGCAGCTGGTCTGCACCTTCAGTTAGAATCCTGGCTCTCTTAGAGTGCAAGCGTTAAACCATCTTTCGGCTCAGTTCCTTCACGCTAAAAGCTCCCAGGTTTAACATGGAACAGACCTTTTTATTTTCCCTTGAAAACATTCAGTTAGATCTGTTGTCCTCTGTGAGATTACAGAAGTTCCCAAACAGTGCTAGTTCCATTGTTTGGAGCTCAGGGTCAGTCAAACCTAATAAAAGTACAGACACCTGGCAACCCAAGTTTCACTTCTGCTGAAATTATTGTTAAGTATCACTTTAAAAAACAAAGAAGATTGCATGAGGAAAAGCAAATTGCTTTAAAAAAATGGACGTTCATTACTCTAGGATGTGAGATACTATATTTTTTAACAAGAAGTGAAACTTTTAGAAAGCCTGGGTGATAAGCAACTAAAAACAGCTGAAGTCAGGATCCCAGAGCTTCCAGAAAAGGCAGGAGTTGGGTCAGCGAAAAAGAGTAATGAGTCACAAAGAGTAAATGAGTCTGGTCCTAGAGAGAACACGTGAGAAATGGCTCCGCTGCCCTGGAGACTTCAGCTTCATGCATCCCTGCCCAGGCAGGGCTGGGTGAGGGGAAGGGCTCCTTTCACCTGGGTTTAATGAATGAATAAGCACTATTCCAAATTTGAATTCAGCTAAGATGTAATGAAGGCAAAGAGAAAAGAGCCTCATTTGTTAAGCACTTGCGGTATGCCTGGCCCCATGCCAGGCCATCAGGCCTGCTACTCCTCTTGTTTGTTTATTTATTTATTTGTGTATTTTTATTTTTTGAGACAGGGTCTCACTCTGTCACCCAGGCTGGAGTGCAGTGGTGCAATCTCGGCTCACTGCAGCCTCGACCTCCTGGGCTCCAATGATCCTCCTGCCTCAGCTTCCCGAGTAACTGGGACCACAAGCGCATGTCACCACGCCTGGCTAATTTTTGTATTTTTTGTAGAGACAGGGTTTCACCTTGTTGGCCAGGCTGGTCTAGAACTCCTGACCTCAAATGATCCACCTGCCTCGGCCTCCCAAAGTGCAGGGATTACAGGCATGAGCCACTGCGCCCGGCCCTCCTCTTGTTTAATAATAACCCAAGCTGGGAGGGAAGAGTCACCATCTACCAGTTGGAAGATGAGGAGGCTAAGGCCAGTAGCACTGTATCCTGGAGGTGGCCAGTAATTACAAATGACCTGGGCAGATGTTCCAGTGAGGAGAATACAGGGCCACTTTGGTCTGTAGCCTCAATTTTCATAATGACCCTTATCATAGCAGTGAGCATTTATTGAGTGCTTCCTGTGTGCCCTGCTCTGTGCTAGCCACCATCCATTCCCTCCCTCACTAATCCTCACAGCACCCTCTGATGTGTGACTGTAGTAAGGTGGAGGTCACCTCTGTGTGACCTTGGGCAGTGACTTCACTTCCTGAAGGCTCAGCCTCGTCACCTGCAATAAGGGGCACTCACAAGCCCACGTCAGAAGGTGCTGTGAGAATTAGTGAGGGAGGGAATGGATGATGGCTAGCACAGAGCGGGGCACACAGGAAGCACTCAATAAATGCCCACTGCCATGATAAGGGTCATTATGAAAATTGAGGCTGCAGACCAAAGCGGCCCTGTATTCTCCGCACTGGAACATCTGCCCGGGTCATTTGCAATTCCAGGACATCACTGGCCACCTCCAGGACACAGTGAAATCATCAACTGCTTCTTTTTTTTTTTTTTTTTTTTTTTTTTTTTGTGAGACAGGGTTTTGCTCTTCTTGCCCAGGCTGGAGTGCAATGGCGCAATCTTGGCTCACTGCAACCTCCACCTCCCGGGTTGAAGCAACTCTCCTGCCTCAGCCTCCCAAGTAGCTGGGATTACAGGCATGCACCACCACACCTGGCTAATTTTTTGTATTTAGTAGAGATGGGGTTTCACCATGTTGGTCAGGCTAGTCTCGAACTTCTGACCGCAGGTGATCCCCTGCCCTAGTCTGGATTATAGGCATGAGCCACCGCCCATCAACTCCTTCTTAAAACGGGCATTAATTATGCATTCACATATGGCACATGGTAATATTATCTAAGTAAGAATAACGTAAGAAGTGCTCGTGTGGCTAGGCGCAGTGGCTCAGACCTGTAATCCCAGCACTTTGGGAGGCCAAGGTGGGCAGATGGCTTAAACCAGGAGTTTGAGACCAGCCTGGACAACATGGTGAAACCCCACCTGTACAAAAAATACAAAAAATTAGCCAGGTGTGGTGGCACATGCCTGTAGTTCCAGCTATTCGGGAAGCTGAGGCAGGAGGATCGCTTGAGCCCGGGAAGTTGAGGCTGCAGGGAGCCGTGATTTCACCACTGCACTCCAGCCTGGGTGACAGAGTGAGATTCTGTCTCTTTAAAAAAAAAAAAAAAATGTGTTCTTGGTTCCTGGAAGCAGGAAATGGTAACCTAGATCTTTCTTGTTGATTCCTCCAGCAAACACAGGAGCAAGCCACGCCTTGGGAGGCCTTGTTTCTGGAATCACAATTCTACCTCCCAAGGAGCTGCTGGTGGAAGGGTGGAGGCTGGTCAGGCTTCTGGTGTTCAGCACCCACTCAGCCCTGGGTTGCTCACAACCATGGACAGGCAGAAGGAGGTCCTGGGCAGGAGCCATCTGCCAGGCTGGAGCACCCTGCAGCCTGGGTCCCACTCCTTGGGCCTGCCTGCAGAGAGGTTAGAAAGGGATTATCTGGCCCTCTCCATCTGGGCACACTGCTCAGCTTCCAGCATGGGGGAGAAGGCCAGTCCAGCCCCTGTAGGAGTGAGCACTCCTGAGTACCAAGCGGCAGGGTGGTGTGAGGGGCTTCTGCAGCAGGGCACAGAGTCCCTGGATGCCAACTGACAGTGTGACTGTATAAAGAAGCGGTCCCAATCTGCACCAGCCGCACAGGCCAGCTATGCTTACATTTACATCAGTTAAAATGAAAAAGCAGAAAAACTCAGTTCTGTAGTCTTACCAATGCCCTACGGCCACACGCAACCAGTGGCTTCCACGCAGGATGGGCAGAGGTAGAACATGTCCACCATCGCAGAAATTTCTAGTAGGCAGCATTGAAGATGCCTTCAATTCAGGAGGCACCAGGTGGAATGAAGGAAATGCCTGTGTCCATTTGCCTGCATCTTAAATGATACACACTGCATCTCTGCTCTGATTGCAAAAGTAAAACATGTTCAAGGGAGCTATCTGGGAAAAATCCCGAAAAGCCTCAAGTGGCCGCTGAGTGCAAAGACCCCAGAATGAGACTTCTTCAGATCAAATCCGGATCCACCACAGGGAGGCCTCTTGTGGGGGGTTCAACTTCTTTGAGGCTCAGTCACCTCCTTTGCAAATTGAGGGTAGTGAAAGTCCCCACCTCTCTGGCTTGTTAGTGAGTTTAACTGAGATAATTGCTATAAAGTGCTTAGAGCAGTAAGACACAGAGTAAGTGGGCAGTAAATATTGGTTGTAGAAATAAGAACTAAAAGTCAAACCACTCCTGCCAACCAGAAATAATTAAGTATTATTAGTTTGGTCTCCTTTCAATAACTTGCCAACGTGAACTGTATGAACTGGCCTGGGAAGACCTCCAAGAGCCACTGTGGATAGAAAAAGCTTAAATTGCTGAATGACGCCTACGTAGCTCACCACTGATGCTTTTAAAAACCCACAAAATACTACTGTTTCCTTTGGCTCATACGTGATATCAAAGCAGAGAGAAAGCTCTGGAAGATTATACTGCAAACCGGCCATGCTGGTGACCTTATGGAGGGCTTTGGGATGGAGCAGCAGGCCTGAGATTTCATTCATGGAACTCTTACATGGACAACTGGATGCCACGCAGGGGTGTGGACCAGTGGTACTGTGCTGCTTCTTTGAGGCTTTGGGGGTTCCTGGAGATGCTTTCTACCATCCTCCAAGTGTGCATGCAGCCAGCCCCCAGTGCACCTTTGCTAAGCACTTGCTGTATGCTGGCCAGTGTCTAGGTGAAGCACGTATAGAGACTCATAAAATGCAGGTGTGGGCCTGGGGCCAGACACACACACAGCGAGTCCCCTTGCCTGTGTGGGAGCCCGCTCAGAGGCCTGCGGGCCAGCAGGCAGCTCTGAGTGGGGAAGCCCTGGCCTCAGCAGGTCCAGGCCGCACAGGAATGTGGGTCCAGCGTGGCCCAGTCTTCCAAATGTTCAAGATAAGCTAGAAATCCAGTTTTAAGGTCAAGTCTCCTAGTTCTCTTTTTAAAAACTTGTGGTAAATGTGCATAACCTAAATTGACCGCCTTCACTGTCCGAAGTCACCACTTGTGGCATGAAGCTCGTTCACACAGACATGCAGCTACCAGCACCATCCAGCTTCGAACCCTGCCATCCTCCCCAGCTGAAACGCGGTCCTTGTTCAGCAACTCTGTCTTCCCTGCCCCCACCCCCTGGCAACCACCACTGACTTTTTGTCTTCATGAGTTTGACTGCTCTAGGACTTCATGTAGGTGGAATCATAGAGTATCTGTCCATATCAGTTCCAGTTTTAAAAAGTCTGAGTGGACTTCGCAAAAACCCCTCTGAGGACTGCCGGGACCCAGGTCGCCGTTTGCTGGCCTCACCCTCCAGCTTAGAGAATTCAAGAGAAAGGAAGGCAGGGGCTCTGCGGGGGCCCTGAGGTTCCAGTTCTGTGGGGGTTGTGCAGGGCAGTAGGGGGTACACCCCAAGGGAAGTGGCCTGTGGTCTGAGTCACGTAAACTTCAGGATGAAAATATATTCCAAGTGGAGGATGAAGTCACCAGTGCGGGGACAATGGTGTGACGCTGGCCTGGAAGGAAAGCTCCCCACACTGAGGGTGGAGGTGAGGCTTGCAGGGGCCAAAATGTGGCCGTGTCGACGTAGTGTGGGGACCTCCCAGGGCTGGATTCTGGACGTCTGTTTTCATACAAGAACACAGCACGGGAAAAGTGTTCTGTTCAGCCAGGCAGGGCCTAGGGGAGTAGAACGCCCCCAAAGCAGTGCAAGCTTTCCCTGGGGCTGGACTGGCCCAGGCTGCAGGTACCAATGCCTGGCCCCAGCCAGCAGGGAAAATGCTGCTCCCCACGGCTACCCCCAGTGAGCACAGAGCCTGACCTGGTAGACCTAACCACTGGGCCTTCAGCCACAGTGACCAGTGACAACCTCTCTGTGGCCAGGTGCCTGAGCTCAGCTGTGCCCAAAGAGAGACAGGACAACTAGGTCTCTGTTTCCTCTACATTCCATGGATACAATGTTCTTCTTCTTCATCACAGGAAACACATCCAGTAGCACCTAGGATGTGACATCCAGAGACACAGTGGGGTGGAGTGAATGAGAATGGAAACATACAACATGGTGTGTGTGGCGACCCCAGCTCCAGGCCATGCCCACTCCTCATGCTTTCTTGGGGGGGAAAGTGGACCTGTCCAGCACAGACTGTGGGGTGGCCCTGAGTGTGGCGCTGGATGCCAGGGCAGGCTGGGTGCTCCCAGGGGGCATGGCCCTCTCAGGCTCTTCCCAGCCAGACCCCATCTCCCAGGAAAGACAAAGCCGCCTGGTGTGGGCTTACTCCTTTGTCAGCACGAGGCCCATGCTAGGACACCACGATGCGTGTGTTACACCGGGGCAGAGGTTTGTGGGGAGCGGGCAGAGGTTTGTGGGGAGCAGTCACAGATGAGCCTTCCAGCAGGAACAGCCAGGGAGTGTAATTTGCCTCCTTGCTCAGTCAACATCCCCTTGTCTCATGGTTCCCAAGGTGTGCTTTAGGGGCTGGGTGGGGACAAGGTCAGCCCTTCTACTAGACAAAGCCTTTTTCTATCTGGCTGCTACAGGAAGATCGTGCAAGCAGGTCACTTTCAATGTAACAAGCATTTCCTAAATACCTGTTTTGTGTCAGGTCTTGGTTAGATGCTGGGGGCTTAGAGTTGACTTGTAACTTCATATACATAATCTGTGATTTTTTTGCACATTATTGCATCATTTGTACTCATGACTTACACTGACTGTATAATATCCCATCAGGGGATACATCAAGACTCAACTACTTATTGTGGAGCATTGAGAGTGACTTCAATTTTTTGCTTTTATAAATAACACTGAAATGAACATCTTTTTACAGATGTCTATGGAATTCTCAAGATAAACTTACCAAAATGGGATTTCTAGATCAAAAGATACGAATATTTTCATGAGTTCTAATACATAGAACTAAAAATGCTTTTCAACTTGACATTTCATTGTCATCAGCAAAGTATGGAAGTTTGAGTTTTGCCACATCCTTGTCAGCACGGGAGTTACCATTTGAAAAAAATGTCCTTATTATATAATAGGTGGCAAAACCCACCTTCTTTCTACTGTAGTACTTGGTTTACAGACAAAAGCTACAGAAGGCAGGCCAGGCGCAGTGGCTCATGCCTGTAACCTCAGCACTTTGGGAGGCCAATGTGGGTGGATCACCTGAGGTCAGAAGTTCAAGACCAGCCTGGCCAACATGGTGAAACCCCATCTCTACTAAAAATACAAAAATGAGCCAGGCTTGGTGGTGGGCACCTGTAGTCCCAGATAGTCAGGAGGCTGAGGCAGGAGACTCGCTTGAGCCCAAGAGGCAGAGATTGCAGTGAGCTGGGATGGCCTCACTGCACTCCAGCCTGGGAGACAGAGCGAGACTCCGTCCCAAAAAAAAAAAAAAAAAAAAAAAAGCTACAGAAGGCATTGTTTTGGTCTGAAGAACATGCAGCTCAAGTTATGTGTTTCTCCTCGCTTCTTTTCTTAAGGCAACCTGTTTTCTCTACCTTTGGTGGGGAGAGAGAGAGCCGTATCACTACTACACGTGACCCAAACAGTGGATCAGAACATAATCTGGGCTGTCAGCCCACTGATTTGGAAGCCCTGATTGCAGGAAGAGACCATGTGGCCGCTTGAGCCATTTCTTGCTATGTCACCAGGCTGGTGTGCAGTGGCGGGATCTCGGCTCACTGCAACCTCCACCTCCTGAGTTCAAGTGATTCTCCTGCCTCAGCCTCTCGAGTAGCTGGGATTACAGGTGCCCACCACCATGCCCGTGTAATTTTTGTATTTTTAGTAGAGATGGGGTTTTGCCATGTTGGCCGAGCTGGTCTTGAACTCCTGACCTCAGGTGATCCACCAGCCTTGGCCTCCCAAAGTGCTGGGGTTACAGGCGTGAGCCACCGCACCCAGCCTGTTTGAGCCATTTCAAATGCACCCAAAAGTGATTTGACAGAAAGCCAGCTCAGTGGCCACCTACATGCCAAGAAACAATCTTCCAGTTTCAGCAGATTCCCCTGAAATTGCTGTGTATTTTCAGATTCCAGTCTTTAACCTCAATGCTTTATTGGAGAGAGGATGCCAGCATCTCCATATTTCCTTCCTACTTCAGGCTGCAACTTGAATATGCTTTTAAAAAATTTAGCTATCATTGTTTCAAAAACACACTTTCCTAATGAAAGCCTGGTTTGTTTTCTATGCTCCTGCGACATCCAATAGCAGGGCATTATATACCAAAGTATAAGGAAATAAGACCAATGACAAATTAAAAGCAAAGGAACCGCTTCCTTAGATGAAATGCCATAGGTCTGTCCCTTTTTGCTGCCACTACAAAACTATGTTTGGCCATCAGCCGACACATTCCACTAATGCTAAAAAAAAAAAAAAAAAAAAAAAAAAAGTCCAAGCAGAGAGTACTGGAACAAAGGGAGGCTCAAAGTCACAGGTAGAAGGGGCCGGAGAGGCAATGTGTTAGACAAGAACTGCGTGCCACCCCTACACGCTGCCCTTCCCTCTCCAGGGCAAGGAAGAGCGTATGACCACAGGGGCTCTGCTTTTCTCGCTTTCTAAAAAATGTACAGATGGCAAAAAGTCCAAGATCACAGCTTGTTGGCCTGGAAAACAGTTTGTTTCCCTCAACAAAAGCCATTTCCTTCTCTTCTGTTTGCTGATGGTCCCAGTTTCAATCCACGGCCACTCAGCACAACATGTTTTCGTCCCCCCGACTACCACTGCACTGAGTTACCTTAGAGCGAGGAAGGATGTCTCCCTTTGTGGCTCTCTGCATCATCCAAGCACAAGCTCGGCTTTACAAGAGAGATAAAGGCAGAAATTAATTTCTTTACTAATTGACAACAGCTTGAAAAAGGTATAAAGATGCCAGAATTCAGCATATGGGCTCTGGAAACACATTTCGACTCAGAATTTTTTTTTAAGCTGTTACTACATGCTTTATAATGTAACCAACTAAAAGGCTGCTAACGGTGCAGCATTTTTGAAGTAATGCATTCTCAGGATTTCATATTTAGAAGGTTTATTTGAAAACATCCTACTCTCCACTGTATAAATAAGAGGAAACAGAATGACAAAAAGTGTCATAACTACGGTTCTTGGCATCTAGCAAGATGATCTTCCTTTTGTATCACGCTGCGGGATGACGATCTGGGTTTCAGAAAGCGGTAAGTGGCTGGTTCCGTGGGGTTAGCGATCACATTGCCACGTGTCATGCCCACAGTGGCCATTCTCCTGTTGATTTTCTCTCTCATGAAATGTTAGGGCTCTGTGCAGCTCTGGGTTGGCCAGAATCATCCAGAAATGCCAGACCTTTCTCTCAGAGCTCTATGATGAAAGTTGCATATACAGAAAGTGCCTCTGGCTTATAAATAAGTGACAGCTGCAGAGTGGGGAGAGGCTTTTGCCACTAGAAACTTCCAGGATGCATGAGATCAAGGAATTAAGTCTGTAACAAAATAACAGGATGCTCTGTGAAGTCCAAAGAATTGCTTGAGGCAAACTGCAGAGCTCCATGAGATCAGCAACCCCAAGAGCTTTTACACCGCCGGACACGGTTTAATAGGAAAAAAATCTCCTATACTGTATATTCAGAACCAAATGAAGAGAAATGTCAAAGGAGTCGGAAACAATATGTCAAATTAGGTAAATTCCTGACCTGACCCAGATTTTGCAGAACATTTGATCCTAAACTGTGCTGTCCACGTCCTTAAGATCACCTTTATCTGAGTTAGAAAACAGATGACAGAGACCATGTTTTGGCTAATATATATGCTTCTGTCATACACCTGCTGACCGGCAGAGTCCCTGGAAGGCAGCAGAAAGCAGGCAGGCAATGGCATCAGATCCGGGTACAGACCACAGCTGCTACGTCTTAGCTGTGTGACCTTGCAAACGTCTCCACCGCTATGATCCTTGGTTTCCTCATCAGTGAAAGCCGCCATCGGGGCCAGGGTATTTACTGAGTGGATTGCTGAAAGGGTTAAATGAGGAGGCAAGTGAAAGCACCTGTCACACAGTAGGCATCCAAAAAATGCTAGTCTTCCTTTCTCCACCTTTCATGCTTAGTTCTTGCAGGGATCGACTTGAGTGTCCATAAACAGATGGCTGGATAAAGAAAATGTGGTGCATTTATACACGGAATGCTGCTAGGTCCTCAAAACGAATGAAATCCTGTCATTTGCAACAACATGGATGGACCTGGAGGCCATTATCTTAAGTGAAATGACTTAGGCACAGAAAGTCAAACGCCGAATGTCCTCACCTGTAGGTGGGAGTGAAATAATGTGCACACATGGACATAGAAGGTGGAATGACAGACACTGGAGGCGTGGAAGGATGGGGGATGGGGGATTGAGAGATGACTTATGGGTACAATGTACATTGCTTGGGGGATGGTACACTAAAATCCCAGACTTCACCACCACGCAATATATCCATGTAACAAAGCTGCACTTGTACCCATACATTTATATGAATAATAATAATAAAAAAGAAAGCCTGCTTCAGGATGCCGGGGTTCCTGGTGCAGTGTCCATCCATCCTCTGGGATGCAGCTGCCTTGCTCAGGCCACACAGGCTTTCCCAAAGCTGTGCCCTGAAAGAGTCCCAGCCCCCATACTGGTGTCACAGCTGCCATCCCTGCAAGTGGGGACAGAAGGCACAGGGGCGGGGCATGGAAGGGGAAGGCTGCACAACGGACTGACCCTTCACAAGACTGGCGCTGGAACTTTACATTTTTGTGCACCATGTTAACAAAAGTTATTTTGACTTTACTGAAGTAAAGGCAAAGAACAGAGTTTGAATAGAATGAGTGACAGCAGCTTGGGAGATGGGGGCCCAGACAGAAACAAGGAAGGTGGAGATGGAAGAGATGGAAGATTGAGAAGCCAACAGCACCGGCCAGGGAGACTGGGGAAGAGGAGCCTGTGAGAACGCCTGGGATGGTGAGGATGGAGCTGAGGCCAGCGGGAATGAGCACGTCCTCCTGACTCTCCTTCAGGGAGAAAACAAGCCCCAAACATGCGGCCATGGCTCCTGAGTTTTCTAACATGGCAGCTCTGCACAGCGTCCTTCCTACATTTCTGGCTGCCTTCAAGCTGTTCGTGGCTCCTGGGCAGGTGGCAGTCCCCCCTGCACTGCTCACAGCACTCTCTTGTCCTGGGCTCACAGATCCACCCTGCCTCAACTGCCCCCAGGCGGTCCCCATTCACCCTGCCACGATCTTCCCTTCTCCACCCTGCCCTCCCTTTTCTCTCTGGTTCTGGGGGCCTCATCCACACAGAACACTTAAGACACCCTGGTGTGATCCCTGGGCTGGTTTCTGTTTCATTTGGCTCCAGGTCCCACCCCTATGTTTCCCACCTGTCTGGAACCAGTTATGTTCCCCTCCCAACCTGGACCTCTAGCTGCACCCCCTGTCTTTGTGGGGGTAGAACTGCAGGTTCACATTCCACTCTTCCGTCTCCCTCTGCGTCCACTCCCTCCAGAGGCATGCACGCCATCCTTCTTGTCCTCTGCCACTCCCGTAGGGAGCCTCCCTCTCGTCTACTGGGGCTGGTTCCCTGGCCTTCCAGCCCTTCTCCCCACCCCCAGCCCCCAATCTCCCTCCAGCCCAGTGCATTCCACAAGATCCACCCAGTCCATGGGCCTGGGGAGGAGATAACCCTGCCCCTCCCTCCTCCTTCCTGAATTTTCCTCAGGGGACGGGGTCTAGGAAGCTGGTCCCTGGGGTGGCTCCCAGACTCCTGAACCTGCGCAAACAAGTGACTCAGCCCTGTTCTCGATTGCTGATGGAGCCACCTGAGGTCACAAGTGGGTCATTCTGTGTCTGCCTTTGTGTGTCCCTGTCTCTGTTCCCTTCTCTTGTACTGTGTCTCTGTCCCTCCACTTAAGTGGACATAAGGAGCTCCTCAGCCCCCTCTTCAGTACCTGCTCTTTGATGGGCTGTTGGGAACATCTGGAGATTTGGTCTGGGACTCAGGGGAAGTGACCCAAGGCCACCATCCCAGGCCTCCAGGCAGCAACCACTCACCCATCCTTGCACTCCTGCACATCCTGGGCCTTGCACACACACCTGCTCCATCTGAAACACCCCTCCACCCTGTGGAACATCTGCGTGTCTTGTCTCTCCCCTAGAAAAACCCCCAGCCTTCTCCTGTGTGTCTAGAGGTCCAACTCCAGTGTTATCACAGGATGGCATAATCAGGGTCTACTACAGACCCCTGCTGGACTGTGTGCTCCTTAGGGGCAGGGTGCCTTGTGGTGTCTTTGTATCTCCAGCACCTAGAAAGTACCAGGCCCACCACAGATTCTCAAGAATAAGAGAACTCATCAGGACAAGAGCTTGTGGTTTCTTAAGTCACAGAACAAGAGGTTCCCTCCAGGGCAGCTAAGAGGCCACGGAGACTTGTAAGCACAGGGTCTCTGGTCCAGCCCAACGCAAATGGGCACAGGTATGATCATTTCCATCAAGTGGCTGTCTACAGACTTGGGAAAGAAAACCTCAGGCTCCCTTGAGACAGGAGCTTCCACGGTAACACCTATTTGAGCTCCTCAGCTGCTGTCTCCAAGGTGACGCCCAGAAACCGTGATTGGAGCGGGCTTCTCCTTCCACACCTGTGGTCCCTGGGGTGGCTCCCAGACTCCTGAGCCTGCACAAACAAGTGACTCAGCCACATCCTAGGGAAGGGGGGTCCTCCCACTGGAACAGGATTTGGCCACAACCTGGCACTCGGGGACCTGGTGTTGAAAATGAGTCAAATGGGGACAGATGCTCTCTCTTCCCAAGTCCACGTGAGATTTCACGCGGGGAGGAGCCACAGCGTCTGGTATTAAGTAAAGGAAAACTCATTAGCAAGAGACTCGGAGCATTCTAGGACAAGTGTTGAAAGTAATCCAAAACAAATATAAAACAACTTGCAACGCCCCTCACTGGATCTGACTAACACGGGCAGGGCTGGTTTAATATTTTTCCATAAAAGCATGCCTACCCAGACTAGGGTGGCCTCCTCTCCACACCACAAAGAGGCGCCTGACACTCAGAGGACCATTCGAATTAAATCCGAGTCATTCTCAACTGAGGGTTACGCATCGCAGTCTGTTGACATTGTTCCATCCTTGATCATTCCCCAGAGAGAGAGAGACCACACAACAGAGGTGGGAGAGGGAGGAGGGAGGGAGGGAGAGAGAGAGAGAAAGAGAGAGAGAGAGAGAGAGGGAGAGAGAGAGAGAGAGAGATATTCCTATCTTGGTGTTATGGGCTGAGCTGTTTCCCCAGATTCACAGGCTGAAGCCCTAACCTCTAGTACCTCCGAATGGATACAAGGTCTTTGCCAAGGTAATGAAGTTAATATGGGTGGGCCCTAATCCACTATAACCCAAATGTACACACTAGATGGGGAGGACCATGTGAGGACACAGGGAGAAGACGGCCACTTACAAGCCAAGGAGAGAGGCCTCAGAAGGAACCAGCCCTAGCAACACATTGATCTTGCATTTTCAGCCTCCAGAACTGTGAGAAAATAAATCCCTGCTGTTGAAGCTCCCCAGTCTGTAGAATTTTGTTATGCTGGCCCTAGCGGACTCATACACATAGCATCTTTTCATTTACGCTCCAACAGCCCCGAGTGGTGTGCAGCTCCCTCCACAACTCTCACTGCCACGTGACTCTGTTCTTTTGCAAATGTAATTCTCTTTGCTTGGAATGATGCCCACCTCTGCCCACCTCACAAACTTCTATTCAACCTTCAAAACCCTTGTAGATAGCACCTCCTCTGTGCAGCCTCACCTTGCCCTCTGCCCCCTTCCCCAGGGAGTGCTCCCTCTTCTCTGTGTCTACAACCCTGATCACTCTCTTACTAAGCATGCTGAAGCCTGGGTTTGGCAATGTGTCGAGATGCCTGTGATCTGGGCAAAGTCGGAGCCTCTCGACACTGGAATGAGGACTCCTCTCTAGGGCTGGCACAGGGCCTGGCGTGCCGCAGACTCTCCATGTATTCATTCAAATTCTCAACTCTTCTATTTATTTATTAGTGACTGTCTTGACTTTTGGATCAGAAAACTTCATCCTGGAACCTCCCCATTACTCTGAAATAAAGAACATTTTCATCAGAACTTGGGAAGTGCAGCATCTAGCCAAGATCTCCAAACAAACACCATTTTCTGATTGAAAGAAATAAAGCAAATGCTTCCCAGAGCTTTCTGCTGTAAGGAATTAGAATTTACAAATTCAGATACCATTCATTATAAAAGGAAAAGTGCACAGTGCCCTCTTCTATTCCTTTACTTCTAGCTCTCCCGCATTCCACATTCCATCCTTTATTCATCCTTACTCACTGAGCACTTGCTGTGTGCTGGGGGGATGGTTTGGCATTCAGCAGTGGACATTGCACCCCTCGCCAGTGCCTCTCATCCTGTGGCCCAGAGCAGATTCTAGAAAGAGGGCCTTATACACACCCCTCATGACAAGATCAGTACAGATCTTTGTCATGGTGGGGGTCAGACAATAAACACAGAAAATCTAAAGCGAGTCTGACCACTGGCAGTCTGGAGGGAGCGGGTATGTGGTGCGTGTGTATGTGTGTTATGCGAGGGGGTTTACTGTTTTAGAGGAGGCCTAGCTGAGAAGGTGATATTTTAGTAATGACCAGAAGGAGGTGACAGAGCAAGCCATTCAGACATCTGGGGACACATGTTCCTAGCAAAGGGGACAGCAAGTTTGAAGATTCCAATGGGCCCAGTAGGTGGGAACAGAGGGGAGGCCAGTGAGTTGGAGCCAGGGACAGGGAGAGATGGGGCCAGGTCACGGGGGCCTTGTAGGCTTCTTGGGGACTTTGACTTTTACCCCGAGGGAGGTGGGAGACACAGGTGGTGGGAGCTGAGGAGGGCCATGGTCTCATCTGGGCTGAAGGGATCCCTCTGCCCGTGTGTGGGGACTAGACTGCGGGGGTGAGGGTAGAGGCTCCCTGCTGAGAAAGCTACTTCTGTGTCCCGTTCGTCTCCTGGTGTAATCAGGGCACCGTTTCTTCTGGGTTTGCTGTGGAGAAGGCATCTGAGTGACAAGGAGGGCATAAAAGGTGGTCTGGGACACTGGGCTAGGAACTGAGATCCAGTTTTGCTCCCGGCTCACTGGGGGCCTCGGGCAGGCCACGTGCCTCTTCATCTGCGCAGCCAAGGAGACGGTCTCCACATCTCCCGTCACGCTTCAAAGGCTGCACTCTCATTCTCTAACTTCAGAAGCAGCTTATCAAAAAACAGAGGGTAGTGCAAAAACGAGGGAGAGAGAACCATGGTGGAGGAAACCGAGAAAGCCCCAAACAGCAGGTGGAGGCCAGGGCCCCTGGGACTCACAGGGAACAGATGTCCATTCTGTTGGCAAACCACAGGTTTCAGTCATTTCCACTCCCGGGCAAACGCACACTGACACACACACACACACCACTGAAAGGATATGCCACAAAATGGGTACTGTTTTTCTCTGAGTAATTGAGTGAAGGCTAATTGTTTTGTCCTTTGGGTTTTCCAAGATTTCTACAATGAACTGGTATTTTGTCATGAGGGGAAAAAAATAAAGGCTTCCCTACCCCCAAACTGCAACTGTACATATGCACAGTACAGAAAGCATGAAGACAAAACCAGCTGGCTCTGAATCAGCCCACAGTCATATCTGCTCTTGAGAAACCACTGTAATTGGAGTTAGTGCCTTCATGCATTAAATGGACTTGCCAGGGGCAAGGCTGGCAGTTGAGGATGTGAAAATGAATGAGCTGAGTGTGTGGAGGGACCAGAGGTGAGGATCACTGATCTGGCATTGCCCTGCCATAGCAGTGGTGTTTCTGGGTGTCTGGATTACAGCCTCAAGACAATCACCACCACCACTGAGACATCCCTGGGATGGAGAAAAGCGAAGATCAGAAATAGCTCCCAGGAATGGTTTTCATTATCTTCTGCCATTGTTGCCTTCTCTGAAACACACTGCTCTCGGTCATTCGGTAGGCTGACTGCAAAAATGGCTTCAACTCCCCCTCCTCCTTCCATTTGCACCTGTCCATGCCGCTCTGCAAAGTGCCCTGCAGCTCCTCCCAGCAAGGCTGGAGTCTGTGCTTGTGACTCACTCGGACCAACACAATGCAGCAAAGGTGATGTGTGCCACGCCTGAGCCTGGGCTTGAAAGGTCTTGCGTCTTCTGCTTGGTCTCTTGAAACCCTGCTGCCACCAGGTGAACAAGCCCAAGCTAACCTACTGGGTGATCAGAGACACATCCTAGTCACCTCTCTTGCATCTGTCACCCCAGCCAACAGCCAGATGATTCCCAGACACAGCTGCCATGCGACCTGCAGCTGACCACACATGTGTGAGGGGCCCAGCTGAGATGAGAGAACAGCCCAGCTGAGCCCAGACGCATGCACTGGCTTGAAGCATCATGAGATAGATAAATGGCTGTTGTCTGAAGCCGGTAAGTTTTGGGGTGGTTTGTTACATAGCTGTAACTAATTGATTAACTGGTTACTGTCACAGATGTACCTGGGCAAAAAAAAACCCCAAAAAATAAAATAAAACTAAAAACACTTTTGGCTTGATTGAAACTGTCCCTCAGAGAATTTCATTTTAGAATCTGTGGCTCTGGCCAAAAGGGTGGCTCTACCATGATGGGCATCTGGGCTTTCCAATTCACAGTGGGCCTTTCAGAGGTCAAGCACTGTGGCAGGTGAAAAGCCGTGAATGATGCTTGGTTAACATGCACTGCATCTACTGCTTTACAAATTGTTATTTAAAGTAACAAAATACATGTACGCAGTCTCACTATTCCCTCAGGTGACCAATCCTCTCACTTTGATGTGTATTCTAGACTTTTTCCTACACACTCACACTCATGTCTCAGCTCTGTGTCACTTTTTTTTTTTTAGACGGAGTTTCACTCTTCTTGCCTAGGCTGGGGTGCAATGGCCAGTGTCGGCTCATTGCAACCTCTGCCTCCTGGGTTCAAGAAATTCTCCTGCCTCAGCCTCCCAAGTAGCTGGGATTGCAGGCGCCTGCCACCACTCCCAGCTAATTTTTTTGTATTTTTAGTAGAGATGGGGTTTCACCATGTTGGCCAGGCTGGCCTCGAACTCCTGACCTCAAGTGATCCACCCACCTCAGCCTCCCAAAGTGTTGGGATTACAGGCATAAGCCATCACGCCCGGCCGTCATTTTGTTTTATGGCCTTCTTTTTCTTTCCATAAACAGCACTTTATTTTTTTCCCTTAACAACAGGTCTTGGAGGCCTTTCCATAGCCAGAATTATAGACCTAACTCCTTCTTTTTAATCATGGCAAAGGATGACAGTACTTTAGTTTATCTGACTCTTCCTGTGCTCATGGGCATGTGAGTTGTTCCCAACTTTTCATGATAATGAGGTTTATTTCTCTGTACATATGCGGCAGATCCCTTTAGTGAGCAAGCAGAGATATGGCATCCCTGGTCAAGTGAGCATTTAAAGGAAAACGGTGGCAGATGGAACCTTCCCAAAATCCACAGACCAATAACTGACCCTTTCTGCAAAACCGGCTGAGCTTCCCCAGCCCTGGGTCTTTCACCTCCCACCGCTCTCAGGCTGCCTCCTTACCATCTCTTCCCCGAGCCTGAAATGCACCTAGCATGGGGCTTGTCAGGTAGAGTTTTCCTGCTTTAATCTAAAGTGAATGTGCACTGAAGTGGCTATATTTTTCTAAGAGGGGAAAGAAATCACCCTCCATTTAGTCATTTTGTTGTGCCCTTGATTGATTTTTTTCTGAGTCAATGGTCCTGCACAGGGAAAAACAAAGATTTTCTACTGTTGTATTATAAAAGGAACACCTGATTCGTATGGACAGAAGGCTGTAAGAGGAATCATTACAAAAATGAGAGACACAATAGTCAAAGGTGTAAATAAAAAAGAAGCCCCAAAAGAAAACAAGAAGCCAGAAGAGAAGTAACGACACAGGGAAGAGCTGCAGAGCAACCTCCCCAGCATCTCTAGGAGCCTATCACCCAGTCACTCTCCTGCAACCTGGATGGTGAGTGTTCTGGACAGGTGAGGGGCTGCAGGTGTCGACGATGAATTCCCTTCACCCAAAGCAGACCATAGTGACGATAATGTGCCCTTTCCCTGCTGATGCTGGGTCCTTGATGTGACCAGTTTTTAACATACTCTCAGAACCCAGGGATGTTCTCAGGGCTTAGGTGTGAGGCCATCTGTCCCTGCACAAAATGGCCCTTGCCCATGGGTTTCCAAGTTGGCATAGCTCTTTGTTCCCACAGTCACATTCCACGGATTCTACCAGCGTTTGCTGAGAACACAACATATGTCAACTGACGTGCTGGGCGCTTCTGCAGACCTTGCCTCATCGAATCAGCATCAGGCACTCCTGGGCCTGAGCTTTGTCTCTGTGATTGGGTAGCTGTGCACAGACAGCATAACCTCTGTGGCCTTCACTTTCCTCGCTTAAAATGGCCACACTAATAAGGTCGGCATATAGTCTACAGGGGGCAAGAAGAGCAGGAGATGTTCCATCTACAAATGTTCCTTCTGCATTTGGGCTCAGAAACAGCCCAATGACTGAATCAAGGCCACACAGCTAGAGATGGCAAAGGAGCCTGGTCCAGAGCACAGGCAGGTCTCCACCGGCCCTACAGGACCCCAACACTCTTCCTTGGTGATGGGTCTCCATTCCCACCCTTGACTTGGCATGGGAGGCACCAGGTGTAAGCCCTGTCTTCCTCAGGGGTCACTTCCTCCCACCAGCCTCGTCACAGCTGTCAGCGCCCTGCACTCCTAGCCCATTCTGTAGCCACAGTAGCTGTTTCTGTTGGCACCCTGTTCTGTTTTGGTCACTTTTGGGTGGTGGCCCGCTGGGGCCTGATGCTGCACTCTACGGAGGAGGCCACAGCCTCCCGCTCACCCAGGCCCTGGCCTCACTCTCCAGCTTCCTCCTTGGCAGGGCAGGGGCTTCCCTCTGTGAACTCAGAGGTCACGACCCGCCAGGCACTGCCGCCCACTCCCCACCAAGCTCACTCCCAGTTCCCCTGAAAAGAAGGAGGTGCTTAGACTAAGTGAGAAAATCTCTCCCTTTTAGGGAATCAGTCCTGCTGTCACCCCCACAACCATAAAAGGCAAAATAAGAAAGAAAAAAAAAACCAGATCTATCAAAAGCTCCACACAAGTGCCTTCCAGGACTGCAAGCCGTCTTCAGGGAAGGGCCTCCCCTTCTGCTCCACGCACCTCAACTCTACACAGGGCCTCACCCCTCACCGGCGTTAACTGGATGAGTACTTGCAACGGCCCCGCTAGGCAGCAGTACCGCCTGTGTCCATTTCACCAGGGTGGACGCTGAGGCACAGAGAGGAGAGAGGGCTGGCGGGCTGGGATCCACAGCCTCTAGGTCTGTTCTCACCACTCAGGCTGTTGGTCCCAGTGGGCACCTACAGGTGTGCTTCTGAGGCTGGGTCGGGCAGGAGGATGGGTTTTCCTTGTCGGAGGGCAAGAAAGCGTAGGCTTCACGCTGGATCTCCACCCAGGCCTCAGTGGCCTTCCCGTGTGCCTCCCCCGCAGCTGCTGAGAAAACCACACCAGAGAGCGAGAACGTCATCAGAGAGGGGCGCGTGGGGTGTGCATCTTGGGAGCTGTATTTCTAGGTGTGTGCACTCATGCCCACGTGTCCCAGGCTCTTTAGAGGGAAGCGTTCCCTAGGTACGTGGCATTCCCTTTCAAATTCACCTAGCGCCCCAGAGAAGGGATTGTGTGGGAGGAACGCGGGTTTCCACGAGATGGTGGGGGTGTTTTATGTTTGTTTTCTCGGCATTTTTTGGTTCTGCACAGTCACGAGCTGTGGCATCCCCGGGGGAAAGGTCCTTGCCATTGCGGGGGCTGTTCTTTTTGCCCACACGGCCTCGTCAACTAGGGGATGCCCCATGCATTGCTCAACCCCAGAGAGAAAAGGAGAAGATAAAACCTGGATTCAAATGATTTCACTTCTCATTAGCCACTGTGACCTGGGAACAAGGGAAAAACCAAAGATGAAACTGTTCACGTGAGCTAGACTCAACGCTCTTGTAAAAGGAGGAAGAGGGTGTTTAAAGAAATGGAAGGGTTTAAACAGCTGCTCACAGCTTTATAAAGGATAGCATGCCTCTCCCACCCAGCCTGCCTTCTGGGGTCTCAGCTCCTTCCCTTACCCAGCAATCCATCGCTGTAGGCCCCCAAACATGGGAGACACGATATGCCAGTTGTAGGTCAATGGGTTTTCAGTGACAAGGACAAGGAGAAGGTTGCTTATGAATGCGTGTGGGTGGGAGGTGCACGGTCACAAGGGCGGACCACATGCAGCGGCGAGACTCAGTGCAGCCGGGACACTGGCACATGTGCCTGTTGCTCCGAACGAGGACAAGGGGCCCCACTGCGGGCCCCAGAGAATGCATCCAACCTTCTGTCTCCCCAGATATACCGGGCAGAGTCACCAAATCTTCGCGCACCACCTGTATTATTATTTACCTAATATACTTCTTAATTACACACTCATGTTCCCTCGCCCCCTTAAATTGATGTATTTATCAAAGACACTTTCTATGACTATTGTTTGTAGAAAATCTGTCACTTCCCATAAACACAGAGTAACTGGTGGACATGGCCGTTTGTCTACCCAATATCCACTCTCTCTTTTCTTCTTAGTAACTGAAACCTGATTTTATTCAGACTGGCAATGTGCTTGGGCAGAGCACTCTACCTCCCAGCCTCCCTAGCAATCAGTGTGGCTATGGGACTAACTCCTGGTCATTGAGACACAGGATGGCATGGATAGATGGAACTTCCAGAAAGGCTTCTTAAGTGGAAGATAGGTATCATTTTTTATGTCTGAAATATAAATGTAATGTGATGGCTGGAACTCTCACAGCCATCTTGGGCAAAGAGGTAAATGAAGCTAGGTGCTCTAAGGGTTGGGGAGCAGATAGAAGAAGTTGGTTTCTTGATAAAATAATGGAGCTGTTACTCCAAGTATTAAGTATGTCTTTTTATTCTGATATTTTGGCATCTAGGGCCTTGCTGACTGGGGAAATTACCTGTTCTAGGGCTAGCCAATTACTAGAGATAGTAAAGGTCTTACAGGGAAGCACATCTTTCCTATGCAAATTAACTGGTCCAGAGCCCACACCTCCACTCCAGGCCAATATTTCTCTGCTTTCATCACCCCAGGGCCAGATGCCAGAAGCCCCTACACCCCAGAGCCCACAAAATCATTCAAACTGGCTAATTCTAAGCCTGCTCACCCCATCTCACCCATCCCCGATCAGCCCTGGTGCTTCCCCACATGCCCCCATGGTATGCTGTGGCCCCTTCTCTTGGGAACTGAGAGGAACAAACTATCTTTTCAATGGCAGCCTCTCCTGATGTGTTGGCCTCACCATACCTGAATCACAATACAACCTACATTTTCAAACACAGGCCTGGCCTATCTCCAGACTTCTTTTCAGAAGAGAAATAAACCTTTTTCTTGTGTAATTGACTGTTACAACTAGTCTTTATTTCTAGCAGTCAAACTTAATTCCTAACTGATGTAGAAATCATAAAATAAATACATATAAATAAGAAAAAAGTGATTGCCTGCATGCTGTCTAAAACCACCATGGCTGCTACCCTTGATGACGCAGACCTAGGTCAGTAGCAGGAGGGGCCCTCGTCTTCCTAGGAAGACCTCCTCCATCCATGTTTCTTGCCATACATCCCTTCAGGTCCTCCCACCAGGTGAAGAATATCTGTCCCCACTGTCCCCACCCTGTAAATAAATGTTGGGCTTGGCCATGTGACATGCTTTGGTCAATGGAAGGTGGACAGAGTGATGGTAAGAAAGTCTGAGTGCAGACTTTAAAAATCATCACCACCATCAACAGCTTCTGCTGTTGTCCTAGAAAAGAACATGACTCTCCTAGCCCACTGTCCCTGGAAGCTGACAGACATGTGGAGAGAGCCGAACCCAACTTGAGGCCTGGAGCCACACCCAGCCAAGCCCAGCCTAAAACAGCTGACCTACAGACACAGGAGAAAGCATGAGTTGTTGTTTTAGGCTGTTGAGTTTCGGGGGTATTTGTTATGCAGCATTATTGCAGTAACTACTGGCTCAGTCGGGAAGGCAGCAATCTACATATATTTATTGATTTCTAATTTTTAAATTAGAAACTGCCCTAGGCATATCCCAGTGCCTGTATATAATATATAATACACACAGACACACATGCACACAGACATACACACACATATATACAACCAGTGAGATGGCTTTTGGCTTCAAGAAATTGATGACTTAGCTCTGGAACTCTCCGCTTTCAAAGAACACTGAGATTAGCTAGATGCCCAGTTGCCAACTCCAGCAGGAATCGTAACTCCAAGTGAAGTGACTACACCAGAGAAAGAAACTCTTCATTGAACTCCCTAAAAGAAAAAGCACCCAAAGAACCTTGGGGACAATGAAGAAAGCTGTGACAGTGTCACGAAGCTGGGGGACCTGCCTCCGAGAGAGTGTTTCTTGACCCCAACCTGGGTAGATCCGAATCCAAGCTCAGGGTCCTCCTGACCCAGATGTGTTCAGCCACGTGTCATCGACACCTTGTAAACAGATTGCTGATACAGGAGTGCCGGGAAGAAACGCACACTTGCTTACACTGGTGGGGCACCTAGCACACCTGTAGGTACTTGGCTGATGTTATTCCATCAAATCTGTACGGGAGCTGCCTGGGGGCTTCTGTTCCTGTTTTATAGAGGAGAAAACTGAGGATCTCTGGGCCCTGTGTGGCCAGCTGCACACGACCTCTGTCTCCTCTCCTACAGTGCTCTCCTCTCACCTCACCTCCTGTCTCCCGACTGTTCATGAGTCAGGCACCCTCCTGCCCCAGGACCTTTGCACTGGCCACCCCCTTTTCCCCTGGTCATCTGTGAGGCTCCTCCTTGCCTCCTTTGGGTCTTTGCTCAACTACCACTTTCTCAGTGGAGCCAGCAGCTTGAGCATGGCCCCCTGCCCCCACTGCCCCGCCCTCCTCCTCCAAGGTTTTATTTTGCTTTGTGGCACTTATCTCCAATGGACATACCCTAAAGTCATTTATTGCTGCTCATTGTCTGCCAAGGGCAGGGACTTGTGTCTGTTTTGTTCACAGCTGCATCTCCTGTGCCCAGCACCATGCCTGGAGTTGGTAACTGGGCATCAAGCTAATACATTATAGACTGAACGAATGAATAAATACACGAATGAGGCTTGGAGATGTGAAGGAGCTTGCAAAAAGTCAATAGCTAGAAGTTTTTCAAGCTAGACAGAAGCCCAGGTCAGCTTGGCCCTCTTAGAGCAGCCCCTGAGCCTTGTATAATTAAATGGTGTGTTCCGTTGTTAGTGCTGACAAAGTGCCAGTCTCCTTTCCTAACAATTCGGCTGTACCGAGCGAGGAGAATGGGGGAAGTCACCTGTAATTTTCTTTTCTGTCTTCCCCTTTAAAAGGGTCTTTAAAAATCAGATATGTGTTATAAAAAACAATGGGATAATGGGTCGATTTTTCATATCATGACAAGCAATTGCTAGGGAGAAAAATATCATTCTTGAAAATGTGCAAAAGTGCACTGGCTGTAAGTTGTAAACATGACCCTCACAGGAAAGGATATTCTGGGGGCTCCTGGCACCTATTTCTTTCTTTTTCTTTTTTTTTTCTTTTCTTTTCTTTTTTTTTTTTTTTGAGACAGAGTCTTGCTCTGTTGCCCAGGCTGGAGTGCAGTGGTGTGATCTAGGCTCACTGCAACCTCTGCCTCCCAGGTTCAAGTGATTCTCCTGCCTCAGCGTCCTGAGTAGCTAGCTGGGATTACAGGTACATGCCACCAAGCCTGGCTAATTTTTGTATTTAGTAGAGATGAGGTTTCGCCATGTTGGCCAGGCTGGTCTTGAACTCCTGACCTCAAGTGATCAACCTGCCTCGGTCTCCCAAAGTGCTGGGATTACAGGCGTGAGCCACTGCGCCCGGCCCTGGCAGCTATTTCTCACAGCGTCCATTATTATAAACCAGCTCTCCTATTCTGTGACCCCAGCAACTGAGACACAGAGTCAGGCGGCTCTCAACCCTTCTCTCTGCTATGCGTGACCCTGGCTAACATCTCCAACCTCTGCGGGACTGTCCTTACCCCTCCCTTGGTCCCCTACCACACCTGATGTGACCAAGGCTCTCAGCACCGTGCCTGGTACACAGTAGATGCTCACTGGAGGTGGGTGTGCCTCTCTTCTGAATCACGTGCTCAAGAGGGATGTCTGTGTTCACCTGCGGCCATTTAAAAATCTCAGCTGTGGGCATGTTCTCATGTCTCACTGCACCTTCCCCTGCTTAGAGGTCATTTTCCAAGGAAGGGAAGAGAGAATGTAATTCACAGAAGCAGTGCCACTTTACAGAGATGCTTTGAGCCCAGAGATCCCGATGACTTCAGAGACTCTTGGTTCTCGTGTGGACTGGGAGGAAGGAGTGGCCTGATGCAGAGCTCCTACCTGCTCAGATCAGCCCAGCTCCTTCTCCCTCACTCAACACAGGGTCCTTGGAATCGGTCCCTTTGGCCTTCAGATGATTCTCCTTTTTTGGTAAGAAAGCTTCCACTGAATAAAACCTTTAAGTGATTTTTCCAATCTGGTGGCGTCTGTACAATAACTGAGGAGAGAAATAATTATGATTATGGGGTCTGAATGATCCAGCACTTCTCCACGACTCTGAGGAGGAGGCAGCTGGCCCCTGCCTCTCACATTGACTGTCTTTGCGGGCAGGCCCTGCTTAGACGGCTTGGTTTTCTGCGTTGGAGAAAGGAAGCCAGTGGTGTAGCAGGGAGAGCGCTGGATGTGCACACAGCTTTCAAAGAAAAGCAAAGGAAAGATGACGGGAGGGAAGGGCAGAGCCACACAGGGGTGGAAGCATCCATTTATGGGACATTGAGTTTGTGTGGGGTCCTATGAGCTAACGTTTCCATAGGAAGCCTCAGGCCTAACATACAGATGGGAAATCTGAGGCTCAGAGAGGTCAAGTGACTGTCCTGGACACACAGGTATAAAGAGTAGGCCAGGCCACTCTGCCTCCACCCAGCAGGTTCACATAACAGAACTCTCTGGGCTAAGCTCCACTTGTCAACAGGGGACCAACCCCTCTGGGCTCACACCATGCCACACAGGGCACGTGGGTGCTGAGGAATGAAGGTGAAAGGACCTTGTTCTCCCCCTGCAGTCAGCCCCGATGCTGGCTCTGTCCCTCATCCAGGCTCAGGCGCCACCTCTGGGAGTCAGAGCATCTTCTAGCAGAGCCTTGGCAGGAGGCGAGGTGAGGAGCTGGCACGGCACCCCTGACAGACTGCGCGTCGCAAGCTATTCCTGGAGCCGCTGCGGCACTTCTGTCAGATGATGCAGAAACCCCAGGGCCACTCGCCTGGGGGCTGTGCCCCACGCCAAGCTGCTCAGAGGCACAGCACTGATTGGGGGGCGCTGGTCCAATGGAACCTGCGGCTCTGCACCCCAAAGCATTTTCCCAAAAGTTAAAACTGTAGCAAGGTGCAAGTGTGTAAGAATTTCAGTCCGACTTTGCCCCCTAATGACTGTGAGCTTGAATAAATCAGGCAGCATCTCTGAGCTTGTTTCCTCCATAGGGACGTTGCCTGCCTTACTCTGCTGCCGTAGGATTAAATGGGGTGATCCGTGGAAAAAATTATTAGCACAGAAGTCATGGATTTTTCCAGCTGGGCAAGCGTTATTTGATTTTCTTTAAACAGGGCTCATCCTCCAGGCCAAATTCATACCCACACATACAGGATTCACAAGTGTGAACTTGAGCGTATCCAAAGAAACCATCATTTCTGTGAAATGCCTTGTAATTCTGCAAGCCTTCACTGAGCAGCTGCTATGAGCAAGGTGCCACACAGATGCGGAGAGCAGAGGCCCCAGTTGCTGTGTTCAGATAACGTACAATTCCCTGTGGCCATCCGGACCCTTCGCACTATCAAGGGGCCCACCGCCTGGGAGGGATTTCTGGGGTGCTGATGACCAGACTGCGTCACTTTCCAGGGCCCACTGGGCAAACTGGCTTCTCCCCTGCTGCTGTGTCTTGTTAGAGCCACCGTGTTGTGTTGGGGGTGCTGGCTTAGTTTAGGGTGGGGATGAGAAGCTTTGAGGGACCAGGGTGGAGGCCTCCCCAGGGCTCCTCCTTCTCCAGCAAGCAGTACTAACCTCCACAGCCAGGGTGGAAGCCACAGAACACTCAGAGACAGCAGTCAAAGAGGCCACTTCTGCACTGCCTGGACCAGAGACTGCAAACTGCCCTTCAAGCTGCATTTCAAGTGCCTTCTGTGTGTGTGTCCACGTGTTCCCCTAAGCGACTGGGCTACACCAGTCCACCACAAAGGTACTGTGGGTTTCCTCTTTTGGCTGGTGAGGACACGGAGGCACAGAGAGGGCTGGCGCACAGCCGGCCGTGGGCAGAGCTGGACTGCCACGCAGGCTGCCTCCCTCCTGGCACGTTCGGCTCCTCGCTTCATCGGCCGGGCCCTTGGGACCCCAGCTCTTCAGGGAGGGACTCCAGGCAGAGCTTCATTCTCAAATGCCCAGACAAGCACTAAATATGCGTAGTGCACCCAGCGCACTTGCCGGGGAGTTGTGACTGCATCTGAGGATCCCATGCAAGGTTTGGGTCCTCTGTTTGCTTTTTAATTTCTCCCTTTACCTCTAACAGGGGAGAAACCAAGACACCGAGAACACAGCTTAATAGATCTGTGATTTGGAATTCTGATCCTGGCTCTACCACTCCTGGCTTGTTGTCTCTCCTGTAAAATGAAAATGACGATGGCTTTACCTGCCTTGGAAAATGAAATGAAATGAAATAGAGAATATGAAGCCCTTCAGAAAGGGCAGCCTGACAGTGCAGTCGTGGTTTATTGCTTCCACGTTAGTGACACATGAAGCACCTTGTCTGCCGGCATGCGGTTCTCTTTTCATTTTGAGCAGGACCCCACTGGGCTCTGCTCCTGAGCTCTCCGCGTCCTCCCCGCCTGCCCTGACGGTTGGCAGCATTACAGCCGTTTATTTTTAGTTCTTGGTGGGCCAGCCATTTCCTGGTCACATGCTGTTTGAGCTCCCACTTCAGAAAGGCTCAGCTCACAAGACAGACTCTGCCCATTCCCACCCCCAGCCTTTCTTAAGGGCTGTGTCAAAGCGAAGCCAGCCCTGACCCTACCTATTTTAAAGTTCCTTTGAGGAGTCCTTTCTTCTGGTCCACTTGCAGCCAGAGTGATTTTGAAGTTTAATTTACGAAATGGGTGGAGAGGTGCACAGAACCTGGTTCTGGGAGCTGGGGCCTGAGATCCGGGTCCAAAACTGCCACCAACTGGTGGGACCTCGAAGTCTGTCCCCTACCCTTGTACAATGAGAAAGGGAGGGGCAGAGGCTTCGTTGCAGGTTCCTTGCAGCCCACTGCTCTGTCAGGGACCATCAAATGAGAGCAGTTCTGGTCATTACTGCAGCTTCAGTTATGAGTATGCACGTAGTAACAGGTGCACTTCCTGCATGCTGCTCTGGGCCAGGGCCTGTTCCAAGCAATTTATCAATGGTAAGTTTACAGATTGGAGCTCTACACCTAGGTACCATTATTACCATCTCAACTTCACAGACAGGAGATGTGATGGGGACGCCTCAGGCCAGGTCTGTGTTTGTGCCCTGCAGCTGGGACTGGAACCCAGTGTCACTCCAGACTCTGCCTTCCCCCCATGGCAGCCTCCCCAGCTTTGCCCTTGATCTTCATGTGTGCTGGATCACAGTGTGTCACTCTGATTGGGGAAAGATGTGTGATCCACCCTCCTTGAATGTCTTTAGGGAAATACTCAGTATTTGGAGATAGAAAAACAACAACCACCATGCAAGGTCCTTATTACCTAGGCAGGGTGCAGCGATGTGGATTCATAGGATGTCAGGTGTGCGGTGAGTGTGCAGGCTGCCCCAGCAGCCAGGGGACAGGTGTGCCAGAAAGAAAGGCTCCGGAGGGTACATCATCTCCAAGATGGATTTGAAGATGCCAGTCTGAGGATGATAGCAACAACTGCCAAAGACCGAAACGGCTTCTTCTGGGGACCTAGAGTGATGTCTGTTTTCTTCTCACCCTCTGGCCCCGCGAAGCCAGGTTGGATGCAGAAAACACTGGGCTGTACCCAGTTGCTGTGGTAGCACGGGCCCCTCAGGCTCAAGGCCAGCTCTGACTCAGTAGAATGGGGGACCCTCACAAGCATGCCACAGTGTGGCTTCTGCTTGCCAAGGGGCCTGCCACAGCAGCCACGGCCATCTGGATCTCGGACCCTGCCCAAGCAACCTGGGTGGGGACATCTCCCTGGAGCCCCACCTGGACCTGTGCTGAGGCCAATCCAGCCCCTGACCTGGCCTGGAGTGGACCTCTGTCTGTGCCCTAAGCTCGGCCACTGTGGTCCTTCCCTCTGTGCTGCCTCGCTGAGCTTCCTTCCTTCCCCTCCCGCCCCTTCTCCTCTTCCTACTGCCCTCCCGTCCTCAAACTCTCCCAGAGACTGAACCCCTGTGTGGGGGAGGGGGAGGTAAGGCTAAACTGCAGATGGGTCTTGTCCTCAAGGAGCAGCTAAGTTTACTGATGTCGCCGTAGTCATTACACCCACCTCAGTGTGCAGTCTCAGCTGCGTGCTGGGAAGACAGGAAAGGAAGACCCAGGTTCCGACATGGGTGGAAGCAAGAGGCTCCACCTCCACCCTCCTCCCTCCCGGCTCTCAGGCGCTCCTCCAGCTTCTCGGAGCTTGCATGCCACTGTCTAAGCTGCAAATCCCCAATGCCCATCACATGGCCTCTCTGGGTGGCACCCCATGCCTGATGCTGAAGTTGCCTGAATACCACCCCCAGCTGTGTTCCCCTTTCCTCTCAGATGCAGGAACCCACCTCTGACATGATAAAGATGGGCCCTGGGAGGGGCACACACTCTCCTCTGTGAGCATCTGCTCCCACCACAGACTCCTGGGGTTCTAGGAAGCCTAATGGCCTAAAGACAAAGGGCAACTCTGTCTCATTTGGGGAAGAAGTCGTGCCAGAGAGAACGAGGCTGCAGACCTGGAGTGGAAGGGGTCCCACTGGCCTCTCAGCACCTTGTGACTTTACTATGTCTCCCTGCCTGCAGAATGGGCGTACAGATATCAAGGCCATATACTTGTGGTGCAGAATAAAAGAGAAGAAGGACGGAAAGCCCCCAGGAGAGGCCCGGGCCACAGTTGTGCTCTGCTGTGGGTGAGAAGAGGTGCATGTTTGGGAAGCTCACGTGCTCTCCTCATCTGTAATAATTACCACACCTACTCCAAGGCTGTAATGAGGTTCAAGGCAACGTCTGAAAAGCTTTGCATCGATAATCAGGCATATGATAAATATTAATTAATGTTAAATATGAATATCATCTCTCTCTGAGAATTCTTATAAATACTCCATGCCGTAGGTAATATCACACCACTTTTCAAATTTGGAAGCCACACTAGTTAGCATGAAACTGTGACTGGAGTCAAATCAGGTTTTCCTAAGGCGGAAAAGTAGTCACCCCAACATAGCCAATATTTATGGAGTACTCTCTGTGGGTCAGGCCCCCCACATAGAGGAGCTCATTTGGTTCCTTTTTAATCCCCCTACTGACCCTATGGGGTAGAGACTTTGACTCATCCTTTACTGTAGATGAGAAAACTGAGATGCAGAGAGGTTAGTAACTTGCCCAGAGTCACATAGCAAATAAGTGGTTAAACTGACTCAAATTCAGGCCTTTCAGACAACAAGGACCACCTATTTGTTCTACACCCAAATATAACCTGCATATATGTTATAATTAGCTACATCTTTTCTCAGCTCCTGAACCACAGCAAATAGCATCCCTGGTGCCGAGAAGAATTTCATTTCCTAGAATTATTCAGTCTTTCTTTTTAACACAGGATCACGTGTAAGTAATTTGACTTTTTTTCTCCTCCAACAAGTGACTCATTTAAACACTTCAGAAACGGCTTCTTCTGGGGACCTAGAGTGATGTCTGTTTTCTTCTCACCAGGAAACCTTAAATATTTTCATCTGAGAGACCGTATGAATAATTTTGAATGAATGACTACGCCTTTGGGGTAAATTCCTTCTGAAAGATAACCAGGTGGTAAATTATCAGGCCGCTGGGCACTAGAATGAGAAGAGATGGTGCTGGGTCTCCAGGAGTGTCCATTTGGCTTCCAAAGCCCCCAACACAGATCTGCGATTCAGCATTCAGATGGCACACTTGCTGCGGCCCTCGGAAGAGCCACGTGTTCTTGTCACTTCAGTGAAGCTGAGTGAACAATGTGCCCAATTCCTGTGTGAATAGCTCAGGGTTCACATTGTACCTGCCACAGCAACCACTTTGTAAATTTTTAAAAACAAGTTCAACAGTGGGTAAACGAACAGAAACACGTACCCCCAACATCACTGAAGGGAAGCCCAGAAGGCTGATGAAGAAGAGTGTTCCCGCAGGAACGGCCGCATGTGGCCGCATCGCTCCAGATTAGCTAACATGGGAAGCATGAACAACTTTCTATAGAAAAGATGGGGGCTGTCTATTTAATTTCAGGGAACTGAAAAAAAAAGTTTCTCTTCTCAGCCAGTGACTAATGTGTGGTGAGGAGAGCAGGGGTCTGTGTGTTGGGGAAGAGGACAGTATGGGGGCTTGTTGAGCACCTACTATGTGCCCAGCAGCCACTCTGCTAGCAGCTAAGACATTCATTTAATCTTCGCCAGGTAGATACTATGACTTAGAGTTACAGGTGGGGAAACTGAGGCTCACCAGTTTAAAGTGAGGTTTAGTAGCTTGTCCAACGTCACAAATGTCATGTCCTATGAAGATATTTCCCCATGATCACTCCCAAAGGTAGTCTGGGCCCTCTCTCCCTCTCCCATATGTCCCATGCACACTTCTGCCAGAACCCCGTAATAGCCCCCCACCAACTACTTTTGCTTTTGAAGCATGTCTGTCTCCATGGATTCCTGAGGCAGTAACCAGGTCTGTGTGATTTCCTCATTCCACACCCAGCACTGACCCAGCACACGGCAGGTTCTCATATAATAGCTGTTGAATCTGTTTATTGCAAATATTGTATACATTTCTAATTTTAACTATGTAGACACGCACCTTATTGAAAGTAAATCCTACTCAGAAAATACTCGTAGTGCCCCTGGCTCTTTTCTCCTTACAATCTGCCAAACCCCTCTCTTGAGTGGGAGCCCCAATCCACTTCCTCAGTTGTGCACAGGGTCGCCTCCCAACTGCGCCTTTCTGGCCTGTTTATCAGCCAAGCAGGGGCACTCTTATAAAGGGTGCTGTGTCCTCAAAAACAGCATCAAAGAACTCCGAAGACAGTGGCTTTGTTGGTTCATTATAGAGGATTCTGGAAGTCAGTTGTGCCATAATCAATGCAAAACCACATGACATAAATTTTTATGACAAAAGATATTTGTAATGAGCTCTTTTCTTTCAAATATGAAGCCTTAGTTTACCTCTTTAAAAAACACTAGTTACGGCCGGGGACAGTGGCTCACATCTGTAATCCCAGCATTCTGGGAGGCTGAGGTGGGCGTATCACTTGAGGTCAGGAGTTCAAGACCAGCCTGGCCAACATGGCGAAACCACATCTCTACAAAAAATACAAAAATTAGCCGAGTGTGTTGGCATGCCCCTGTAATCCCAGCTACTCAGGAGGTTGAGGCAGGAGAATTGGTTGAACCTGGGAGGCAGAGATTGCAGGTAGGGCCGAGATTGCACCACTGCACTCCAGCCCGAGTGATGGAGTGAGACTCTATCAAAAAAAAAAACAAAAAAACAAAAAAAACCCCAAAAAACTAGTTAGGAAATTATCCTTTAAGGCTTACCTTCCTCATATTCTCCATCATCACCATCACTCATTACCATCACTATCACCATCACCATCTATGGGTGCCTGTCATGGAGCCTGGATTTATCTAATCTCTCAATATTTGTACTATTGCACCCATCCTGTTAGATGAGGCAATGGAGGCTCAGTGAGGTTAGGAAATTTCCCAGGGTCACATAAGCAGTCAGTGGCAAGGGCAGGGTGACATTCTTGCCTGCCTGGTTCCAAAGATTGTAAATAATTAACCAATTGTTTATAATTGCAGTCATAAAATCCCATATTTCATGGCTCGTGGCAAGGATCAAATAATTCAAAAACACATTTGGGGCTGGACCTTAGCTTGTGAGATTCTCAAGGGCAGGAGCATTGTCTCATTCCTCTTTCTATCCCACAGTGAAAGCACATGGTAGGCACTCGATGAATCTTTTTTGAATGAGTGAATGAATGGATTATTTAAGAAATTAGAGACTATCAGAGCCCTGGGGCACTCTGTTCCATAAGAGTGTAAAATGTTCTCAAAGAAATTTTGAAGCAAGTTTAACTCTAGAAACGGAACAGCAATTTGTAAACTTATAGTCTCAGAATGATGCTTTTGACAATATCCAGTGTGGCCAGGTTTTAGCTATTAAGCAATAGAATTCAAACACTTTTCAGTACATGTCTTCAGCAGGTAACTGGAATGTGGTGAGGCCATCAGTAATAATAATGAACAGGTGAATACATGCTATATGCCAGAACCTTTGATAAACACTCCACCTAAATGACTGTTTAATCCTCATAACAACTTATGAGGTAGAAATTTCAATACCTTCGTTTCATAGATTAGGAAACCAAAGCTCAGTAATGTTCCAGTAACTTGTCCAAGGATAACAGAGGATATTATGGACAAGTGTATGCCAATAAATTTGATGTCTTGGATGAAATCCACAAACTCCTTGAAAAACACTACTAAAGCTGACACAAAAAGAAAAAGAAAATTGGGATAGTCCTATTAATAGTTAAAGAAACTGAATTTATAATTAAAATCCTTCCCGTAAAGAACACTCCAGGCCTTGATAGCCTCACTGATCTACCAAACATTGAAGGAAAAAATAATAACGATCTTACACAAATTCTTTCAGAACTAACTAAGAAGGAGCACTTCCCAATTCATTTTATTAGCCAGAATATCCCTGGTACCAAAACTGGAGAAGGCCATAACAAAAAACAGACTGCAGACCAAAGCCCTGCAGCTAGTAAATGACTGAACCAGGATTTGAGCCCATAGCTGATGCCAAAGCCCGTGTGTCTAACCATCACACCACACTGCCACTTCCTGTGCCAGTTGCTTCTGTACAGCTGGTGTGTGGTTTAGGGATCAGAGCCCTCATTTTGGGGATGTGTAATGACTACTGGAGTCATAGAAATAAAATGTTAAGAATCGAGGCCTGACCTACTTTACTCTGACATCCAAGATGACTAAGTAAGGGAGTATTTCCCAAGAGTTCCACTCTGACTCTCCCTTCTCTCTTTGGCATTTCCTTCCCCCTCCCCTGGATAGAAATATCCTTTCCTCTCTTCTTCCTACTGAAGCTCCCTGTCCTGTCCACCCCTCCAGCTCTCCAAGCCCCAGTGCTCACCTCTTTCAGGGAACCTAGCGCATCACTCATGTGTCTACCCCTGGGCAGTGATTCTAGACTATAGTGTCCATCAGAGTTGCCTAAGGGCTTGCTAAACACTGACTGCTGGTCCCACCCTGGAGCCGGAGAGTGTGCACTTCCTGCAAATCCCTGGGTGGTGCTGCTGCTGCTCCTGCTGTTGCTGGTTTGACCAGAATCACACTTTGAGAACCACTACCATACTCACAGCCCTCATATCTAGAGATGGTTCCTTTCAGTTCAGCATATGGAGTCTCTGGGTAAAACTCTGCTAGAAAGAGTTGGATTGTCAGGCCAGGAGCGGTGGCTTATGCCTGTAATCCCGGCACTTTGGGAGGCTGAGGTGGGCAGATCACCTGATGCCAGGAGTTTGAGGCCAGCTTGGCCAACATGGTGAAACCCCGTCTTTACTAAAAATAAAAAATTAGCCAGGCGTGGTGGTGTGCACCTGTAATCCCAGCTACTCAGGAGGCTGAGGCAGGAGAATTGCTTGAACCTAGGAGGAGGAGGTTGCAGTGAGCTGAGATCATGCCATTGCACTCCAGCCTGGGCAACACAGCAAGACTCTATCTCAAAAAAAAAGAAAAAAAAAAGAATTGGATTGTCTTTGACCATAAGCTTCCTACAAATCAATTTTTAAACAACTGGCATTTCAAAAGTTCAACTAACCTGCATCACCTAGACGCTGCCCTCACTTAGTGCCATAGTCCACACTAAAACCCTGTGACGGAGGTAGTGCATCCTCCCCACTTCTCAGATGAAGATGGCAAGGCCCAGGGAGGCTGGTGAGGGGGAGGCTGCCATCAGAGCTGAGGTCTTCTCCAGGTCCAGGGAGTACTGGACCCTGAGCTGCCAGCCCGGGTGGCTTAGCCCTGAGGGACTGAACATATTTAAGTAGCAAGTGAGCTCCAAGAGGCTGCAAGCTGATGTCTGTTTGGTTCAGCATTTCCCCAGTGCCCAGACAGTGCAGGCACATAGTGAGTTTCAATAAATACTTGCTGAGTGGAGGGAGAGCAGAGCAGCCTCCCTGCCTCCACCCCACAACACCCCACCCCCGAAGCCCCGTCAGAGTGCTGGGGGGTCTGTCCTGAGGATGGAGCGGGGCTCCTGTGAGTGCTCAGCTCAGTGACCGGCGCGCGCCATGGCTGCTTTCTTCTTCCACCTGTCATCTCGACATCAGCCTGCCCTTCCCCAGGCCGCTCTGCTGCAACAGCAATAAGGTGCCTCTCTTCATAACTATCCTCCCTTGTAACTCGCAAAGAGCTTTCATACCTAGTTTCTCATTTAGAATCAGAGAATTCTAGAAGTGGAAGAAACTTCCTAAATCCTCAATCTCCTGGGCTCAAGTGATCTTTCCACCTCAGCCTCCCAAGTAGCGGGGACAGGTGCACGCCACTGCACCCAGCTAATTTTTGTATTATTTTTGTAGAGACAGAGTCACATCCTATTGCCCAGACTGGTCTCAAACTCCTGGCCTCAAGCGATCCTCCCACCTCAGCCTCCCACAGTGCTGGGATTACAGATGTGAACCACTGTAATCCCACTGTAATGCCTCACCCTGAAACATTTTTTTTAAGTGAATCCTTTAATCAAATGAAATATTGTACAGAAAAAGAGCTGAATGGCCCTGCATAAGGTGGGAAAGAATGCAGTGCTCAGCCCTCTAGGTTTCTGGGACCCTCCCCACAGCCCCTTGGAGGATATAGGCTCCCCAGGGCAGTTGGAACTTCCCTCATCCACTCCAGGTCTCTTCACCTTTCAGAAAGAACCGAGATGGCAGGAGGGAGAGTGTCATGCCCAAGCCGTGGCATGGGTTGGTCAAAGAACTAAGGCGTGAGGGCCAGGTGCAGCTGCATAGAGGGAGTCCCGTAAATGAACAGTGAATATCTAAGAATATGGAATAGTCTCCAGGAGGCAGGGCTGTACGGAGCAAAACCAGGCCACAAAACCCTGTTGGAGTCTTTAAACATCTTTAACCACTTGGCCTGTGATCCAAGGTCAGAGGATCAGTGACTTGCCCAAGGTCACAAGGCTGGGTGTCCAGGGTCACAAGGGTGAGTGCCAAGGGTCACAGGCTGAGAGCTCAAGGTCACAAGGCTGAGCACCCAAGGTTATAAGGCTGGGTACTCAAGGTCACAAGGGTGAGCGTCGAGGTCATAAGGCTGGGAGCCCAGGAAAGGCTAGGTATCTAGGGTCACAGGCAAGGTGCCCAGGGTCACAAGGATGTGTGTCCAAGGTCACAAGACTGAATGATTTACCAATTTCCTCTTTCTCTTTATGCTGCTTGTCCCTGATTAGGCCCCAGAAGCCTGCTTAAACCCCCATCTGCCTATGTCTCAACCCTACAATTTGTGCTAACCAAGCCCATGTAAGCAGGAACCACAACTGCTCATTGCCTCAGGCAGTTACCCTCCCAATCCTGCCTCCTTGAAAGCCTGGCTCCTGCACCAACAGGAGCAGAGGCAGCTGCTCTCTGCTCACCGTGAGCTTCGTGGACCCAGCGACCATCCTCCCTCTGGTCCTGCTCATCACAAGGCAACCCTTTACTATTTCTGTCTTCCTCCAGTTATGCATTTTATTTTATTTTTTGCGATAGGGTCTCGCTCTGTCGCCCAGGTTGGAGTGCAGTGGTGAAATCACAGCTCACTGCAGCCTTGACCTCCTGGGTTCAAGCGATCCCAAGTAGCTCCTGCCTCAGTCTCCCAAGTAGCTGAGATCATAGGCATGCACCTTTAAGCACTGCTAATTTTTGTGTTTTTTAAGAGACAGGGTTTTGACATGTTGTCCAGGCTGGTCTCAAACCCCTGGGCTCAAGCAGTCCTTCCCCCTCAGCCTCCCAAGGTGCTGGGATTACAGGTGTGAGCCACCAAGCCCGGCCTTCTCCATTTAGCTTTAAACGTTTTCATCTGCCTTAGGAAGAAGACAAATGTCCACCACTGGCTCTGCATCATTCTAGGACTTAGTGCCACACTTACCATCTGCAGTTAACTCAAGGGGCATTTGAAAATTATAAAGAGAAGCCCTACGTTAATTTTAACCCAGGGTAACATAGCGTATGTTGAGAACACCAGGGGCAGCATGTATGTGGGGAGTGGACAGGTGGGGGACCTGAGCCTAGTTGCAACAGTCCCGGCTGTCTTGGCAAGGACTCCTCCTGGCCTCCATGAGGTTCTGTTTCTCAACACAACAGTGGTGCAATGGTGGGTCTTACACCAACGTCTCTCAGGGCATCTGAGCTTCGCACTTTCCTACCGTCCCTCAAAAAGCAAAAGAGGTGTCATGGGAGGAAGAAAGAAAACCTGCGTTTATCAAACCCCAGGCCCCAAACCAAGCACTCTGCATACTTCACCTCATTGAATCCCTGGGATAACCCCAGCAAGCCTTACCAGCCCTGCTTTTTCAACTTAGGGGATTGTGCAGACTTGCCAAGGCCGCACAGGTAGTAAAGGATGAAGCCACAATTCAAGGCCTCGTCTGTCTGGTTCCAGAGCCCCGCTCCCCCAACCTCTAAGTGCAGACAGCACGCTGCATTGGTAGTTCACTTCTGACAGCACCCCACAGGCTGGTATTGTTAGCCCATTTTACAGATGAGGAGTGTGAAGTCCGGAGAAGTCAAGTAACTTGCCAAGGCCACACAGCAAATTAGAGCCAAGGTCTGTCTCTCTAAAGCTGAGCCTGTTTCACATCTGTCCAATGGCTGGTGGAAGGAAGGTCACGTGAACCGTCCTGCACACTACCGCATGCAAAGCATTCCCACAGTGCTCTTGAGGGAGTGGTCTGGCTGCTCCTCCTAGAAGCAGGAAAGCCAAGACTCCCATGAGGCTAAAGCCATGGGCTCCAGCAGATCCAGCAACTAGGGAGAGGCTGGATTTGCAGGGGGGCTGTGTATGCATCCAAAACTGCTGCTCTCTGCTGTGGTGGGAATGTTTGTCTCCCCTCAGAATTCATGTTGAAATCCCAACCCCAAAGGTGATGGTGTTGGGAGGTGGGGCCTTTGGGAGGTGATAGGTCATGGGGGCAGAGGCCTCATGAATGGGGTTAGAGGCCTTATTAAAGGGGCTGCAGAGCTCTCTAGCCCTCTTCCCACCATGTGAGGACACAGTGAGAAAGCATCATCTATGAACCAGGAGGTGGTTCTCTCACCAGACACGGAATCTGTCAGCACCTTGACCTTGGACTTCCCAGCCTCCAGAACTGTGAGGAATAGATCCCTGCTGTTTATCAGCCACCCAGTCTAGAGTGTTCTGTTACAGCAGCCTGGACGCACTGAGGCACTCTCGGCAGATCTGAAGGCAACAGCTGGGCTCCAGCCTGGGCTGGTTTCCTCCCAGGGTTACTGAGATGGAATGAGATGTTTGAGGAAGCCCCTTATAAACTGTGAGGTTCTGTGCTTGTGAATGTTATTATTTTTGAGGGGCCCAAGAATGCTGTGGGCTGCTGCTTAGAGGCCAGGGTCCCCCGAAGGGGTCAAATTCTAGACCCCTTGAACTCTAGAGCCAGACAGCTTGGGCTTGAGTCTAGGCTCTGCCACGTAGCAGCCATGCCACCTTGGGCAGGCGGCTTAACCTGTCTGTGCCTCAGCTTCCTCGTCAGTAAGAGGGAGACAACAGTCTCACCTCCTGGCAGCGCTGTGAGGACAAGTCAGATAAGGTATGAACATGTAAACACAGTGTTGAGCACATGCTGGGTGCTCAGTACTTGTGTCTTCTTAGGACAGGCCCTGGGGGTCACCACAAGACAGGAGAGGCCTAGGCAGGTAGGGTGGACACAGGCTGTGCCGGGCTGGCTCTGGACTGGGACAGCATGACGGGGACTTGTTAAAGAGTGCACCTGCTCTCATCTTGCTGCCTTAAGTTGCACCCACAACATGTGGACTTGGGGGAGGGACCCTGAGACATGCACGAGGCCTTGAGTTCAGTATGATGCAGACTAGACTCAGCCTTCCATTTCTAGAGGGAGATGTCGTTACAAGGAGACTCAGGCTCGCCACTGTTGGGCCTTCCCTGTCTCTCACCTCTCTGCCAAATCTTGTTGCTTTTATCTCTGTGTCTCTCCACTCTGCTCAGGCCTCTTTATTCCTAGGGTCGCCACCCAAGTTCAAGGCTCAGAGAGGTCTGGTTGACACTGCCACACAGCACACAGCAAGTCCCTCCCAGCCTGGCGGCCCAAAGTCCTCCCCACACTCCCTGACTTCGCCCTGCAATCTGTCTTCGCACAGCAGCCTCAGGTCGTTCAGAAATCACACACATCACAGTATACTGCTCCCCTGCTCACAGCCCTCCCTCCAGTGGCTTCCAACATCCCAGAGCAGCCTCTGTTCCTCCTCCTTGGGCCCACAAGGCCCCTGCCCATCACTGCTCACCTGCTGTTCTGTCTAAGCTCTGACCATCCTGGCTTGCTGGCGACCTGAGAGCACCCTGCTAGCCCCTGCCCCCGGGCCTTTGCACTGACTGTTCCCAGCTCTAGACTCCCTCTGCCACCCAGACCTTTGCAAGAATGGGTCCAAATGACTGCCACAGCCTCTTGAAAGGCTTCCCAAACTGTTGGGCAGAGGGAGCCCCTCTCCCTGGCAGCCTCCTGCCTCTTGCCTCCCCTGCACTTGGCAGGACATAACACCTCTCCTTATTCACTCATGTCTGCCTGGCTCACTGCTGGACCTCTGTGCCTAGAACAGTTAGGAGTGCAGTTGGGCATTCAGTGAATATCAAAGAATGAAGGAAGAAGAGTTCCTTCACCTGAATGCTCTTTCTCCATATTTCCCTGTTCAATTTCATCTCCTTGAGGAAGCATCCTTTGAAGTCTGGGACAGAACTTTCAATAGCTGCAAAGTCTCCCTGCACCTTTCTTTGCAGGTGAGCTGGCAGGTACTTCGTGTCTAATAGATGCCTGGCGTTGTGTATGGTTTGTTACACACACTCTCTCAGGGGTCCTCAGCAGCAGCAGCAGCAGCAGCAGCACCCCCAGGGGCTGTTAGAAATGCACATTCTTGGGCCCCACAGCAGACCAACTGAATCTGAATCCTGGGGTGGGCCCAGCCATCTGGCTTTCAACAGGGGATGCTGCTGCCACTGGAGTTTCAGACCCTGCGCTATCTCATTTCATCTCCACGGCCACAGAGCAACCTTGTTATTATCATGGTCCTCATTTTACAAACGAGCAACTGAGCCACATGGAGGTTTTTGTTTTGTTCAACAGAGGCAAATGACCTCATATCAGAGAGGGCACACAAACTCATATCCGAGACTTACATCAAATAAACTCAACAGGCTTTCATCAAAGGTAGAGCATTCACTATGCTTAATAGTGAATGAAGAAGGAAGAGGAGGAGGCAAGGGGACGAAGGGAATGAGTTGGGGAATAGCAGAGACTATGGGGGTCTCAGGGTGGCACAGTCCACTCTCCCACACTCTACAAGTTGCAGCAAGTTCACTGTCACCCACCCTCGGAGTTGGGCCCCCAAGGAACTCTTGAAGACTTAAAGGGCAACTCACTCCATTATTTTAATTCTCATATTTACTAAGGCAAGAAAAACGGTTAACACATTTTTCAAACGTTTCAAACAAAAATATATTACTTACAAGAAATAAAATAAACCTATGGCAGTTTATTTTAGAATACTTCCAGCAAGCGACCTTGACTCAAATCTGTCTCCCTGGATGAAAAACACCCATATACAATTATTCCCCCTGAATTTCCTAAATACTCTTCTTCTGACTGGATAGGACCCACCCGCCAAGGAGAACCACGCGTAACTGCCGCCCACAGACATTCCCTCAAAACTTCCTCTTCTCACATGCCCCAGCTGAGTTAAAAAAAAACACACACACAAAGCCCTCTTTAACACTTTCCCTCAAATATTTGCAGATAATTAATTCACTGTTCATCAGTTGAGGATGGTTCGTTTATACTTTGTAAATACAGAGGAGGCTTCTCTGGCCCCAGCAAGTGCTCCTGGAGCCGAGAGTGCGTGTTAGGAAGTCAGGAGGCTGCTCCCTGGGGAAGGGCCCTTTCCAGCAGGACTGCAGGGAGCAGGCCTGCGGGCAAATGGGCCTCAGATTCCCACCGTCTCTCGCAGCAGCGCCTCCTGGGTGGGTCCATGTGTGCCCTCCTCCCGGAGTCCTCCTTGCCCCCTCTGGGTGAGACTGGCCCTTCTGCCTGCATGGAAGGCCAAGGGGTTTCCAGTGAGTCACTGCAGCAGCTGGCAGACCAGGGACCAAGAGAACGCCAGCCCCGGTTTTCTCCCTGCTATATTTAGAATGTTGCGGAAAATCCCATCTTCTGGTGTCCCCACCTGTTCACACATGGCAGCAGCCCCTCCGTTTCTGGCTGCCCGTGCACCTCTCCCTCATGGGCTCTACTCTGAGGCCCCTCTCCTGAGGATCTCCAAAGTCTCCTGGTGGCCTTCCATCCTTCCAGGCCCCAGAGCCTTTCCTAATAAATCCTGTCTTCACCAGCTCCAAACTTTGTGCCTGTGTGGCCTCCTCTGCTCAGTGGTAGTTCTCAACCTGGGCTGCATATAAGAATCACCTCGTGTATCTTTTAAAATCCTGATGCCCAGGTGACACCAAAGACCAATAAATCAGGATCTCTGAGGGGTGGGGGAGGGGGAGCCCAGGCTTCAGGATTTTTTGACTCCCCAGTAATCCTGACAGTAGGCAAGGTGAGAACCATGGCTCTCAACGATCGGAGCCCTTCCTCCTGCTGACAAGCTCCCACTCTCCGACAAGACCCGGCCATCCTGCCAGCCACCCTTCTGGCCCTCCAGGCATTGAGGATGCCCTGAGCCTGGAGGTGCCACACCCCTTCCTGAGCTGCGGGCCTTGTGGCGCCTCTGTCCCAGCAGCGCATCCATGGCACTTACGGGCTCTCCACCTGCTTGGTCACCAGACTCAGGTCCAGTGGCCACACTGCTGGACCCTCTGCTCATTGAGGGGACCCGGCAGTGCCCTGCTTACGTGGATACCTTAATGTGGATGTTCTACCCTTAATATTTAAAGCATTTCTGGTCTGATCTATTTTGGCTTATAAACTCTTCCAGTCATTCAGCAAACACTGTTGATGCCTCCACTTCCTGCTCAGTCCAGGAATGGACTATGCTATGCAAAGATGATGAGAAGGGTCTTGGGGGAGGGAGAGGAGCGAATGGACAACACAATGTAAGACACTGTCTTTGCCTGCCTGCAGTGGCTGCCTTGGCCTAAAGGAATAGTTCCCACGCAGGATAATACATGCTATAAAAAGCTATGCCCTTAGAGAGGGGCTGCTTGCTTTCTCTGGGGAAGACGGGTCATGTTCTCATTAGGACAACAGTTACTGTGTCCATGCATTTCTCCTTGCTTCACACCTCACCCAGAACAAACACCCAATTAGGAACTTCAACCAATGCTTATTAATGATGCCAATACTAATAGCCTTCACATCAAAACCTTCAGAAAGAACACAAGGATGGGTGAGATGAAAGGAAATCCTGTGAGTGAGCTGAAATGCCCAGAAAATACATAAAGTAGAAACAATCGGGGAAATGCTAATTTAATAATAAACCTGGGAGTGTGGCATGGCAGAGATGGATAGCCATCAGCAATGTCCATTCTCTGTGTCTACCTTACCAACAGAAGTTTCTGTTGTTTGGGTCAGTAGTTAAAAATTACAGTTCCTGCCTCCCTTGCAGCTAGGCAGAGCCCTGTGAACAGCACTGGTCAATGCAGTGGGGCTAGAGCCTGCCAGGATTTCTAAGTAAGCTTTGCCTTCCTGATAGGAGCCCAGCCCTTTTTCTCTGTCACTTCCTGCTTCCTCTACCTGTTAGAACATGAGGCTGGAGGTAGTGCCCACACAGATGAAAGCCACATGCTAAGTAGTACCAGCTGAGCAAACTACAGATGGAACCCTGGGCACTGATGGTGCCATGGAGTCCTTGCACCTGCCTCAGACATCACGTGCCCTGGAAGAAGACAAAACTTCCCTTTGCTAACACATGCGCAATGAGAATGGATCTGCTTGAATATACAGCCACACGTTCCTCACTTATAAAATGGGGAAAATAAGATTAATTGTTGTGAGAAATTAGAGATCATATGAGAAAAGTGCCCAGTAGAGAGCCTGGCATGCAGTTGACACTGAATAAATGGCAGGAATCACAATTTTCACTGCTGGCAAGCCATTCAAACCCATGAGTTCATTTTGTACAAATTCTGAGGTTAACATGGAGAACAAAGTTAAATTAGATGCTTATTGAACATGACTCTGAGCCCACCAATTTACCAGGCATGCTGGAGACACAGCCAGACTGCCACAACCGCGGCGCCTAGAGGTTTCTGTCTGAACAGTGAAATACTGTAATGCATTGAGCAATGAGACCCATGGTAGTAAAATCAGTTAGCATCAGATTTACAGAAGCCAGTGTTTCCATAAATCGTGTCATAGAAACCGGGCAGTGAAACCACCATAGGCAGCTCTGTCTACTTTGTAAAGCATTTTCCTATCTATTGCTTCACTGTATCTTCAGAACGGCCTGTGCAGGCCTGAGGGGTGACCCAGCCCGCTCAGGGCAACCACACGGGGACAAGAACCCCCTAACTCCCAGCCTCAGTCCTGCTGGTCTTGCTCAGAGCCCTGGGGTCACGCCCACCTGGGTACACAGCACAGCAGCCAGTCTACATTGTAGATGAGAAAATTAAGACTGGGGATAGTTAAACAAGGTGCAGATCACACGGCTTGGACTCCCTGTTGAGTGGACCCTGGACTGGGTGTATTAGTGTCTGAGCCCTTCTGCTGTCTGGGATGAAAGTGCAGTAGCATGCTTCCAGCGACACCCTGGAGTGCAGATGACAACATGGCTAAAGACATGGGAGGTTTGGATGTTGGAGCCTTGGAGGTGCCATGGGCCCTGCAGCAGTGTTTTCAGCTCCGTTTTTAGTTTTCAGTGTACCTCCAATGGGCACAATAAATGTCCTGACATTCTCCTAATATTTGTTTTATTTAATTTTTTTTCTTTTTGAGACAGGATCTTGCTCTTTCCTCTAGGCTGGGTACAATGGTGTGATCATGGCTTACTGCAGCCTTGAACTCTCAGGCTCAAGTGATCTTCCCACTTCAGCCTCCTAAGTAGCTGGCACTATAGGTATATACCATGGGGCCCAGCTAATTAAAAAAAATTATTTTGTAGAGACAGGATCTCACTATGTTGCCTGGGCTGGTCTCAAACTCCTGGCCTCAAGCGATCCTCCCACCTCAGCCTCCCAAAGTGCTGGGACTACAGGTGTGAGCCATTGCACCTTGCCTGCTTTATTTAAATTTAAAAGCTATGTTGGACTGGGTGCAGTGGCTCACGCCTGTAACCCCAATACTTTGGGAGGCCGAGGAGAGTGGATCACCTGAGGTCAGGAGTTCGAGACCAGCCTGGCCAATATGGTGAAACCCCTGTCTCTACCAAAAATACAAAAATTAGCCGGGCATAGTGGCAGGCGCCTGTAGTCCCAGCTACTCAGGAGGCTAAGACAGGATAATCGCTTGAACCCGGGAGGCAGAGGTTGCAGTGAGTTGAGATCACGCCACTGCACTCCAGCCTGGGCGACAGAGCAAGACTCCATTTCAAAAAAATAAAAAGTAAAAAAATAAAATAAAAGCTATGTTGGAAAGAATGCAGTCTGCATATATCTCTGTAGGCATTTGTGCCTGGAAACATTGGTGTACAGTAATAAAAAAGGCCAGGCTTTAGAACCAGCCTTTTTTTTTTTCTTAGAAAAGTCTAGACAGTTGTGGCTGTAATGCAGCGGCGCAGGACCTTACATAACCTCAGCAATGCATCAGGAGCCACACTGTGGGCTCCAGGCCTTATTAAATAAGAGGATTTGCTGTTAAAATGCTGAACAGCGAAATACTATAATGCATTGAGCAACGAGATCCAAGCTAGTAAAATCAGTTAGCGTCAGATTTAGCATCCATTCACTCCTTTCCCTCCCCAACCTTCTAAAGAAGGTTTGACCTGGGTTCAAATCCTTCCTTCTTCACTTACTAGCACATTTCTCAGCAAGAAGGAAATACAGCCAAGATCACTAGCCACCAGTACCTGCATCGCCAGCCTGCACAAGATCCCCAAAATGGCAGCCCACTTACTTGGCTTCCTTCTACTAAGCAAGCCACAGCAAAAGTCACACACGCACAGTCAACTGGGTTCATTTCCTGAATTAAACACTTCCCTTAGGCACTTGCCAGAGAGATTTCCATGAGTCATTCAAAGAGCTTGAAACAGGTGAACACCAACAGCCATTTTCGCACTATATTTAGAATGTCACAGAGAGCTCTGCCTCAACTCTAGATGTTATTCTGGAAACATCAAAAGGTGGGCTGTTTCTTTTCTCCCTTTATTCTAAAAAAGGAGGCTTTTAAAATTGTTTCTCAAAGTGCCACAGCCAGACAAAATAAACAAGGAACAACATTTACTTAATCCCACAGATTTGGCCAAGTTTTATCCGATAAGAAGGTGGTTGGTGCTAAGATACAAAATAGATTCTTGGGACTCTAGCTGCATAGTACAAATATCCTTTTCCTTCACAATGTCTCTAGAACATAACGATGATGAGTGTAACAAATTTTAAAGGATGCAAATGCAATAGGAAAAAAAAATTCCTATCTGAGGCTTTTACATGTAAGAAGTGCCAAAGTTAATAATGACACAGTCCCCATACTAAAAGCCTCGGAGATGATCCTCAAATATTATTTCTCAAACAGTCTCACAAATATTACTGGGACAGTTCGCAAAGCACTAAAGAACGTCACAACTATGATAAGAAAGAATTAGTCAATACTGTCAGTTATGAGGACGCTTGTGTATATCCAGCTGAATAAGAGCCCCTGGCAAATCACATTTGCAGCTCTTTACCTACAGAATGTCCCAGCAAGCTTTTCACCTCCTGTGCAGCTTCTCCGTACAGATAAGGCTTTCCCGCATTTACAAGGACTTCCAGGCCTCTGTCATTGCTCCCCTGTCCCTCTTTTCAGAGACATCACTTAATTATTATCCATTTTCAAATCAGATAAAATGGAAGCAACATTTCTGGATCTGGGCCACAATGATAGAATTTTACATTGAAGCTGTGGGGAAATCACCGTGTTCAGTCACAGAGAAGTCTTAATTTTAAAAAGTGTTAGGCAAAGAACTAAATTGGGAGACTTCCTAGCCATAGAGAATGTTGCAAACATGATTACAAAACTACATACCGACTCAGACAATGAACATTGGATTTTGATGGTTGTGGATTTTGCTACAGAACAAAGAATCAAAGACCTGGCCTGGGGTTGTGTGTGTGTGATTGTGTATGGATGGTATGTTTATGTATGCATGTATATGTCTATATGTATGTGTGAATGTGTGTATATGTGTGTAAATGTGTAGGTGCACATGTGTATGTATGTGTGTATGTGTGTTTTACGTGTATGTGTATAGGTACAGGTGTGTATGTGTGTGCATGTGTATGTATATGTGTATGTGTGCAAATGTGTGTATGACTATATGCATGGGTAGCTGTGTGTCCTTGTATTTGTGTGTGTGTTGGGTTTTCTTGTGAACAATATGGCCTGTTGAGGCTTCTACTATTCTCCTGGTCTGAAATGCTTGGTAAACCTCGTGTGGTTAAACCAGGGTTTACACTGTACTTGAACTGACTACACAATGCCCATTTGAGGGCACTTGGAGAAAAACCAGGGCCCATTTTGAGAGAAAGCACTTTATAAATGCAGGAAAGAATTCCTTAGCCTCAGGCAAGTTCTGAGATGAACATATCCGACTTTGTTTTTCCAGTTGAGGTTTCTAATCAGCCTGCATTCAGTCTCAGACTACAGAATCTGCTCGTCAGACATTTTTTTTGTTTGTTTGCATAACTACATTTTTTTACTTTGAAACATCCGTGGGGAATAGAAGAATTGAGAAGGATGCTGGCAGTGAGATGGACTAGAGAGGGAGATCTCCAAATTGTCAGGGCCCAGCCAGCTCTGACGGCACCCTGGGACACTCACCATGGTCGTGGGCGAACACCAGCAGGTCCAGCCCCATCAGCATCCGAGCCAGCTCTTCATAGCGGCCACTGTGCTCTCCGGCTCCATGGGACACAAAGATGAGGGCCCTGCAGAGACAAGAAGGGAGCCTGGTTAGGAAAGCCCACACGGGGCTGGGCGCGGTGGCTCATGCCTACAATTCCAGCACTTTGGGAGGCCGGGGCGGGCGGATTGCCTGAGCTCAGGAGTTTGAGACCAGCCTGACCAACATAGTGAAACCCCACCTCTACTGAAATACAAAAAAATTAGCCGGGAGTGGTGGCATGCGCCTGTCATCCCAGCTACTCGGCAGGCTGAGGCAGGAGAATTGCTTGAACCCAGGAGGCAGAGATGACAGTGAGCTGAGATGGCGCCACTGTACTCCAGCCTGGGTGACAGAGCGAGACTCTGTCTCCAAAAAAATAGAAAAGAAAAGAAACGCCCAGATGGCTGCCACTGTGCTGCAGCAGTACCAGAGCTTACAAAACCTCAGCAACACCAGGAGCCACACCATGGGCTCCAGGCATTGTCAAATAAGAGGAGTTTGCTGTTAAAATGCGGGGCTTCAGAGTCACGCAGAATGGAGCCCAAATCCCTGCTCTTCCTGTGAGCTCTCAGGCAGAGCTCCAGTCCCATGAAGGTTCATTTCTTCGCCTGTAACATGGTAAGAAGAGCATCGCCCTGTGGGTGCTTGTGAGGCTCATGGGAGCTAATCGATGCCAATGGCCCAGGCAGAGTGCTGGCGCGGGGCAGGCAGGTCCTCCACCAGGGCCTGCTTCCTCCCTCGGGGGCGAATGTGGCAGCATTTAGATTCCAAACTATCCAATTTTCAAGACCTATATTCTTAGCAGAAGACCTACGGAGAGCTAGAGTCTCCTTCAGGCACGGAGTAAATGCCATGAGCGATACCCACCAACTTCTACTGCTGCTGATGGTGATGAGGGGAAAGAGGAGGAGGAGAACAAGCTGCCACCTTCCTGAGCATTTACTATGCACCCGTTCCTCTGCAACTCCACATGCAAGATTTCTAACTCTCCAGTCATCAGATGATTTATCTTCTTTACAGATGAGAGTGAAATGCATAGAAGTTAAGTGAGTTGGGCCAGGCAAGGTGGCTCACACCTATAATCCCAGCACTTTCGGAGGCCAAGGCGGGCAGATCACTTGAGACCAGCTTGGCCAACATGGTGAAACTCCGTCACTATAAAAAGTACAAAAATTAACCAGGCATGGTGGCACACACCTGTAATCCCAGCTATTTGGGAGACTGAGATTGCAGTTGAGCCAAGATTGTGCCACTGCACTCCAGCTTGGGTGACAGAGTGGGACTCTGTCTCAAAAAAAAAAAAAAAAAAAAAAAAAGAAGTAAAGTAAGTTGTCCGAGCCACATGGCAAGTTGGCAAAACACCATTCAGAGTATGTTGCCGCTGGCTGTCTGGTCTCCAGGAAGCTGCTATAGGGCTCAGAACACAAGCCATGGAGTCAGGACAGACGCTGCCTCGGCGGAGGCTCCCAGTGCCTGATCTGGCAACCCCTCCCGGGCCTTTCTGCTGGGCTCTGGCCCCTCTGCACACCCCTGCTGACCGTCACTCTGGTTCTCTAGTTGCCTGCCTGCTTCCTGATGCCCCCACCTTGACATCAGCCCACAACCTTCTGAGGACTGGACCCCAGAGCTGTATCCCAGCCGAGCAACATGAACAGGGGCCCAGCTGAGGACATAGACACCTCATTCAACAGCTGTGTTCTTCCTACGACTCTTTTCAGCCAGGCTGTGTAAGGCCAGAATGGCACCAGTTTGTTTTATGGTGCTTTCATTTAGCCCCATTTTTCAAATCACCTTTGCCATCTGTCCTTTTCCTTTTCCTGCCTTTTTCCTAAAGAAGCCAGAGGAATTTTCACACCCTCTTCACTGCTCCATGGAATGCCCAGCCACCTCCACTCAATCAGATGTGTACTTGTGTAAATGACACCTGCCCACCTGATATTTCTGGGATTGGCTGATGGGATTTCTTTCCTGCATTTCCCTTGGCTACTGAGGAGCACGGCTGGAACTGCTAATTAGTCAGCATCTTCTGTCTTCAAAAGGGGCTGTGCTTCCAGAAGGGATAGCTCAAGTACTTTAACCCCCTTTGGGAGCACAGCCACTACTGTCATAATTCAGGCTACTGTTAATGCAGACAGACAGGTCGTTGAGCTGGATCATGCAACTCTCCAGCCTCTCATCGCAGCCAGGGGCCACCCAGCAGAAAAGGACTTCGGGGTTCCATTTAACAACCAAAGAAATGGCACAAGGCATTGCCATCATGCCTGGAATTGCCTGTCAAGAGAATCCAGCACCAAGTCAATATGTGGAAAAACAAGTGGTCTCTTACTCTACAGCAATTCCTTCTAATCCAGAGGTTCTCAACTTTGGCCACACATTGGAGTCACCTGGGGAGCTTTCAAAAAGGCTGATGCCTGGGTCCCACTCCCAGGGGACCTCTGGGTTTAATTGGTCTGAGGTTAGAAAAGCTCCCCAGTGGCTCCGATGTACAGCCAAGGTGGAGAAGCACCTGTTCTCATCACAATGTTGAGCTTGGGCCATGGTGCTGCTCAGAGGCTAAGTGGAACTTAAGTGTGGTGAGAATGCAGCCATCGTAGAAACTTAGAGCAACCTTAGGGCCACCAATCTCCCTGGGGGGTATGCTGGGTAGACCACGAGTTCTAGCCATAGAGGCTGACAGATATAGCCGTCCCACTGCAGGCGGTGGGGGTCACTGCCACCCTTCTCTCTGCACAGGAAGAGCCCGTTGGCAGCACCTGTAGGCTTAGCCTTCCACAGCCCCACACTTCCACCCCCAGGCCCGGTCAGCACCCTGAGAGCCCACCTTTGGACACCTGGACTCATTCTGATCTTCAGCTTCTATTGTGGTAAGTGGGTTTCTCCTTAGTGTCTGGATTCAGATCCTGCCTGGACCCCGATTCAGATAACTCAATCTCCCCTTCCCCCTGGCTGCCACATTTACATGTTCCCAGGACCTTAGGGTGTTTGGTAAATCTGTCCAGCAAAGCGAAATCAAATCATGTTACCCTTCTGCTTTAAGCCTTCCAGAAACTTCGCATTGCAACAGAACAAAGGTTGTCTGCCTCTGAAACACCTCTCCCCCTCTGCCCTGCTCCCGAGCTCCGAGGCCTCCTTTCTGGTGCCCAGATGTGCCAGGCGATAGTGTGCTGTTAAATGTTTAACAACTGGGGGTGGGGGTGGTCCTAGGGTTCCTCTGCCCACTGCAGTGCCCAGGGTGGAGCCTCCTGGAAGCCCGCCTGTGCTGTGCTTACTGGCACCAGGGTTTCCAGGTGCTTCACCTCACCCCCTGTGAGCACACCCCTCCTCCTGTGAGACCTTCCCCCCTCCTTCCCCACACACCTGCTGCAGGTGGAGCCACTGTTGCCGCTCCCTCCTCTCTTCAGACCTCTTCCCGGCCTGGTCTGGCCGGCCCTTCCCAGCTTCCTGCCCTGTTGCCACGAATACAGCTGGCCATGTCCCAAGCTATGTGTGTCTGCATTTGTCTCTCTGGGTAAAGGGACAGACCCCAGCTCCAGGCTTCCTGATGGAAGGTCACATTCACCACTGGATGCTGGGCACTGTGTGGAAGCTTCCCCTTCAGGGTTTCACAAAACATTGTGCTTCTATTTCTGCTCCAAATATATACATGACTGAGCACTGAGAAACCCAGATGTGGAGGAAATGCACATCCCAGTTGCTGGGAGGCTGTGAACAGAGAGCAAAGTTCAGCCAGAACAACCTGGTTGGATTCCCAGTGTGACCACGCAGGACCCTGCGCAAGTCGCCTGATGGCCCTTGGCCTGTCTCCTTGGCATTGAAGTAGAAAGAATGGGATGGCAACAACAGTGGGTCCTACTTTTCTTCAGCCGAGTCTGCAAATGTGAATGTGAGCTTATTACGTGCCAGGCCCCCAGGACACTGAGATGAACAAACAACGTTGTCCCTGCCCACACACAGCTTGCAGCCACTCAGCAGAGAACACGCCTGTGAGTGTGTACTGTGAGGAGCACTGTGAGCACCATGAGGGGGTCGACAGATAAGGGAGCCCAACCTAGACTAGGGGAGCCCGACCTAGACTCCAGGGAATAGCCAGGGAAGGCCCCTGAGTGTCTGAGTGGCTGGGAGCTGTCCTGGTGCAGGAGTCCTGCTGGGGACACACAGGTGTGCCTACTCCAGGCGCAGAAGGAAGGCCCCGAGTCCAGAGCGCCATGTGGAGGAGGAAGGTGAGAGGTACATGGAAGGCTGGGTCCACAGCCCCAGGGGCAGCAGTGGGGCACTGGGGTTCTCCTCTGTGCAGAGGATGGTACCCAGCTGGGCAGCGACCTGATCTGACTTCAGCTTTGTGAGGATTGCAGGGCTGCTGCTAATGGAGTGGGAGACAAGAGACCACGTTCATCAAGGGGCCGACAGGGCCCTGAGCAGGTGCCAAGGAAAGTGGTTGGTTCCTGCCCTTCTTCCCCTGCCGTTCTGCAACCTCAACAACAGGCAGCAGCAGAAAATTAGCAGAGCCATTTATGCAGACAAGGCAATACCCACAGCAGCAGAAATTAGGTTGCAGAGGAGGCTGGCTAAGATCTTTTTCCTGGAACTTCTTTAACGGCTGCAGCCAGTTGGGAGCCAGTCGTTCAGGGAGAAGGCAATGACTGTGGGAGGGGCGCCCAGCCCCAGAAGCAGATGGCCTGCCTGGCATCCAGCCCCAGGAGGTGGGACAGCTCCCAATAAAGCACACACAGCCCTCGAGATGAACAAGCCGCAGAGCCTCTCAGAATGTACAAACCAGGCTGCTTTATCCTCTCCATCGAAAAACGAATGCCCCTTTTATGCCTTTGTTTATTAATCAGGTGACCTAACCTCTCTGGGCCTCAGTTCGCTCACCCGTGAAGTGGGGATAATCCTAACACCACCGACCTCAGAGAGCAATGTCGCGAGGTAAATAAGGAAATGCGGATGGGGCAGGGGTCTTGCCTGGGCTAATGAAAGCCCCCCATCGCTGTCCACTAGGAAGCCATTTGCTCCGATGGCGCAGGTAAGCCACTTGCCGGGTGAGCCACTTGCCATGTGGAGGTGTGGGGTAAAGCTCTGGCCCTCCCACAAGCTGCTTCCTAGACCTCTGTGGGCCTCAGTTTCTCCACCTGAGACACAGGAACACTGCAGCCTCCTCCCCGGGGTTTGGAGGTAAAATGAGACAATGTGTGTGCAAGTGCACTGAGGCCCTGCGGCTCAGGATCGAGGCTTCTGCCTTCATGACCATCCTCTCTGCCTCACCCGCCTCCTGCATGAGGAGGAGGATTCAGGGCCAGGGACAACTCACATTCTCATGGTCACTGCCAGCCCCCTGGGCAAGACGCCTGCAATACACCAGCAGCCACTGCTGCCTTGAAAGGCAGAGACCAGAGCTGAGATGAAAGGGGTTCACCTCCACTGAAGGGGCCGGCCTGTTCTGGCCAGACTCTGGACTTGGCTGGACTTGCTGGCCCCCTGACTGCTCATCCACAGAGTGGAGATGACAGTGCCTCCCTAGGAGGCTGCCAAGAGAATTAAACGGACAGTCCCCTAGAGCACGTGGAACGGCTGGCAGAGGGGAAAACGCTAGCCTCCTTCCTGCCTGCCCTTGTCGAAGCAATGCCAGGCTCCCTTAAAGGAAGAACGGAATGCCCAGCTGAAGGAACGTTCCGTTCATTTTCTTAGGAAAATGAATATTTTGTTAGAGGAAATGTATGGTCAGAGGGATACAGTGTTTGTTCCTACCACTAGGCAGGTGGGGATGCCACCAGTCCTGGGTGAGGGGAGCCTCGGGGACACTAGTCCCACACCCCTGAGGGTGTCCTCGCTGGAGGGGTGGGAGCATCGCCTGCCGCTCCAGGCAGTGCCTGCTCTTGGTTCTTGCTTATTCCAGAGCATCCCACTCATTCGACTGGATCCCTCACTTCATCCTCCACTTCTACCAAACTCCGTCCTGCCAAATTTTATGACTTTAACAAATTTGACCGGCACGTCTGCCGTCCGGGCTGCGTGTGGGCTTGTGAGAGTGCGTTGGATCCCTTTCCAGTAACTAAGGCAGGAGAGCATGATGGCTCTGTGGAAGCCCAGATCTAACTTGTCCTTCCTCTTGGAGTTCCAGGGGGCTTTGGTTCCTCTCTGTCTCTGGCAGGGCTCCTGCAGCGACAGTGCACGGGAGACAGAAATAGAACAGAGCCAGTGAAGGAGCTAAAATCTCAGAGGAAACTAGAAATAGACTTCTCCTTTGTATAATAAAACAGATCAATAACGCCTGCCTCCCAGGGAGGGCCTTTGAGAGGACTGATTGAGAGAATTTATGGAAAATCACCAGCATGCTGCCTGGTACAGAGTTAGGCATTAAATAACATCCAGGGCTGACAGCTGACACCTTGGCCAGATACAGGTCTAAGTGTGTTATTACATATCAACTCATTTAACCCTCACAGCACCCCCATGATGTGGGTACTGTTATTACCCCATTTTACTGATGAGAAAAGTGAGGTCCGCAGGTTGGATAGCTTGCCTGAGGTCACACAACTAGTAGGTTTTGAGCCCAGCAGAATTTTAACTCAGCCAGGCTGGCTGGTAAGTCTGCCTTCTTGACCACTGTAATTAAATAATAAGACAACACCACGTAATGGTCAGGTCATGCCCCAAAAGCCCCTCACCCTGACCAGCTTATCCTCTCTCTGGTCACCTGTCCCGGCACCCCTACCCTACCCTGTACTGCAACCACAGGGAAAGACGTGTGGTTCCTCCACACCCCCTCTGTCTATGACCCCATGATTGGGCAGAGGCCTGCTCTTGCCCTCTGCGCACTCCGCAGTCCTTCCACGCTTCCCCAACACTGAGGTAGGCGCACCCTCCTGGGGCCCTGCATTACTCTGTTCATGGCTCTTATCCAGAGTTCATCATCAGGGCGTGTAGGCCCTGTGTTCTTTGAGAAGAGATCATGTTTTATTCATTCATCCTGGTGTCCTGTCCCTAGCAGCCGGCACTGCCTCTGCTCCATGAACACTGAATGAATGAATGAATGAAATGCATCAGAGATAGGAGAGACAACTGTGGGCTGGAACAGTCATGAAGCATTCCCGGAGGCCTACAGACCACTCCCGCAGTGCCCAGTAGTTTTGAAAGCACTCAATGCCCCAGGTTAAATCCCTTTGCTTTGCCTGGCTAGAGAGGCTTCTTGTGCTTGCAGCTGAACCTGGTTATCCAAACGCTCCACTGGAGAGGTGGGAACTCTCTTGGGCTCAAAAGGGGTGGGGGGATGTGCAAAGGGCATTAAAGGTGGGGCAGGAGGGGGTGGAATGCCAAGGGACACAAGGCCCTGAGGCATGTGGTGGCCAGGAGGAGCTGGGTATGAGTGTGAGCAAAGCCCAGCCATGGTGGGAGGAGCTGCTGTGGATCATCCCCTGTGGGCTCAGCTTCAGGAGCCCTGGGCTAGGATGTGAAAAGGCCCGGGACCCATCTACGGCTGGAAGGAAAATTTGAGATTTGGGAACACAATGGGAATTAGACTCATCATCCCTGACACCCAACCCAATCTTAGCTTATTTTTAAAAGGCATATTTTGGGGCGGGTGAGATGGCTCACGCCTATAATCCCAGCATTTTGGGAGGCCAAAGTAGGGGAAGACTGCTTGAGGCCAGGAGTTTGAGACCAGCCTGGGCAACATGGTGAGACCCCATCTCTACAAAAACATTTTAAAAATTAGCAGGGTGTGGTGGTGCAGCTACTTGGAAGGCTGAGGTGGGAGGATCACTTGAGCCCGGGAGGTGGAGGCTACAGTGAGTCATGATCACGCCACTGCACTCCACTCCACTCTGGGTGGCAGAGCAAGACCCTGTCTCAAAAAGAAAGAAAGAAAGGAAAGAAAGGAAAGGAAAGAAGGAAAGAAAGAAAGAAAAGAAAGAAAGAGGCAGACCTTTAATAGAGGCATTTTCCAAGAAGAAAACAAAATTATAACCATAATAAAACAAAGTCACAGCACAGGTAAGCATTCTTTGATCTAATACTCCTTTCAGAATGGGCACAACTCAGACCCAGAACAACTTTGCATCCAGCATATTTTAGCACAAATGCTGCCACCCACCTCCAAGCTATGTATTTTTTTATTATCATAAAACACTACAAATCAGAAGCCCTTGGTTACGCCAAGGTGGGTAAAGTGACAATCACCCTGATTAGTAGTAAGTGTGCTCGCTGATTAAAAAGCAGTATCCTGTGGGCTGGGGCCCTGGAATCTGATTCTTTGGACTTGAATCCTGGATCTGCCCCTGACTGGCTGCAGGCCTAGGTGACAAGTGACTCAATCACTCTATGTCTCAGTTTCCTCATCTGTGAAGTGGGTACTAATGGTAGCACACACCTCCCAGAGGCTCCGTGATGATTACATTGGTAATGAGTGAAACACGAGCCCAGCGTGCATCGGAGCACTCAACCCACATGAGCTAACATTGTCGTCTCCCCAGGTGTGATCTCAGCATTACGTAACATTCTAAGCCATTTGACAGATTAGGAATTGGGCATGGAGCTGTTAAGAATTTAGCTAAAAATGCACACATGCCAAGCTTGGAGGGAGAGAGATCTGATTTGAAGACCTTTCTTAACCAGTACACTACATTGCCTGTCGTGGACGATTTACTCCCACTGTGACCTCATGGCAGCAGGAGATGAGATGGAGGGAGGGGGATAGATTGGACAATCCTGAAATAAAGGCACTGTTAGTCCTTCCTTTCTTCCTTCCTTCGTCCGTAAGGAACACTAAGCGTATTTTGTGAAGCCACTTCAGAATCCTGAGTTGAATGAGACCCGGTCCACTGCCCTTACGGAAGTCGCATGGGAAACAATTTCCCTGACTCCCTATTTTCCCGTTAGCACAGCCTGACTCCAGCCTGCCCCGCAGCCTCTTGCCTCCCCCACACCAGAATGCCTGGATTTCTAGCTCAGTTCTCCTACTGAAGTCCAGCCAGCCTGCCCACTTCCTGGGGGACCCTAGTCTAGGAGCCTGATCCTTCTTCCGCTCACACTGACAGATCCCACGAGTTCCCCCGTGGGCTGGTGTGTGAACTTGCTCTGATGGCAACCCCAGGGGGTAGCCGGCCCCAGTGCGGTGAGGCCCAGTCCTCCATGTCACCCAGTCTTCCATGCCACCCGTACCACTGAGACTGCAGCTGAGGTTGTGCTGTGCCTGCCCAAAGTGCATGCTTAGTTAGGGTATGGCCGGCCCAGCGTCTGAGGAGGCTTCCTCTTCCTTTGGTGCAAATGCCCTGCTGAAATAAGTGCTCCCAGAAATAGAAGAAAACTGCAGAGCCTGACTCCCAAATTCCCTGTGTGAGGAGCTTTACCTTTCAGTATGAGCTTTCTTCAGATCATTGAAAGATCAGAGTCCTAAAGGAGCCTGAAAGCTCCTCCCGCACACCTCTCTGTCCCAGGCACTAGAGGGCCACCCCGCCTCCTCTCTCCCTCCTTTCTTTCTCACTTCTTGTTTGTCTTTGAGCCATCCTGCTTCAAAGCTCTCTGAGAAGCATCTGCAGCCTCCAGGCTAACCACAGTTCAGCTCACATTTCATGTCCTGATGATTCTACATGGTTGCAGTTGATTATGTTTTGTTTATATTGGGAGTATCTGTGCATCTCTAAGATCCCCCTACCCCGACCCCTACCCCGAAAGGGAAGGAATGCTTATTGAGCTAAGTGCTTTACATATGTCATGCTGTGGACTGAACTCCATAATTATATCATCTCCAGCCTCCTCCCAAAACTGTGAAACAGGACACTCAAATATTAACATGGGCTGTTTATCTCAGTTTTAAACTCTTGAGGCCCGGAGTTCCTTCCTTGCCTTTTATGGAAATTCCTTGAACTGCATCGGCTCCATTTGTGTTTGTTCTGCCCTCAAGGCAAGAGGAGCATGAGTCCTTTAACATGCAGCATCTGTTGGGAGTAGTGACTTAAACCTGTAATCCCAGCACTTTGGGAGGCCGAGGTAGGGGGATCACCTGAGGTCAGGAGTTCGAGACCAACCTGACCAACATGGTGAAACCCCGTCTCTACTAAAATACAAAACAGCCGGGCATGGTGATGAGTGCTTGTAGTCTCAGCTATTCGGGAGGCTGAGAAAGGAGAATTGCTTGAACCCAGTAGGCAGAGGTTGCAGTGAACCAAGATGGCACCACTGCACTCCAGCCTGGGCGACAGAGCGAGACTCTGTCTCAAAAAACAAACGAACAAACATGCAGCATCCCGGCCCCCAGAGGCCACTCACTAAGTTCAAATCTATATGTCTAGGTCCTTCTCTCTAGAAATTTACATCTATCAATCTGGCTTTCAGATACTTGTGTTATATCAACCCATCCACGTTTTTTTCTTGCCCAGACCAAGACTACAGCCAAAAGTCCATTGCTGTGGTCCACACATGCATCTCTAAGATCTGAGGGACAGGGGTTCGAGAAAGGCTGGAGTAATGGCAAAGGGATTGCTGTGTGATGAACCCTGCCTTGTTATTTGAGAAAGTCACTCACAGCCTCAAGTGCCTCAGTTGGAAAACAGGAATAATAATCCCTGCCTTGGCAGGTCGCAGTGGCTCCCGCTTGTAATTCTAGCACTTTGGGAGGCCAAGGAGGTCAGATCATGAGGTCAAGAAATCGAGACCATCCTGGCTAACATGGTGAAACCCCGTTCTCTACTAAAAATACAAAAATTAGCTGGGTGTTGTGGCACACGCCTGTAGTCCCAGCTGCTCAGGAGGCTGAGGCAGGAGAATCACTTGAACCCGGGAGGCGGAGGTTGCGATGAGACGAGATCGCGCCATTGCACTCCAGCCTAGTGACAGAGCGAGACTCTGTCTCAAAAGAAAAAAAAAAAATCCCTGCCTTGCAGAAGTGCTTTGAAGATGAAAAGCTGCCGGTAGGTACCAGTTCACTTCTCTAGGCTGCCTCTCCTGCGTGTGCATGTTAGGGTTTCCTCAGTCAAGCCACTGGAGAACATGCAAAGCTATGCGGGCCCTTGGGAAGACTGCTCCAGACAGCCTCTTTACACACATGGCAGGTTTTCTGGCCCGTGTTTTGCTTTTTAACACATCTGGTTCCCATGAAGCAGGCACATCTGGGCAGAAACTGAAGGGTTCCAATCCCACCCAGGGGTCATGACTCAAAATATTTTTTCTTGGGAGCAATGATGTTGATTGTCAGCCTACCTAAGTCTGAAGGAATTCTCCATTCCTCCTTGGCTGTGAGCCAGATGGAACCCTTCCCAGCTCCAACATGCGAACCACAGTGGCTCCACCAGAGAAATAAAGCAATCGGAGTCGACCAGGCACGTGGCAGAATGGCAGCCGCCCTGGCCCTTGGCTGGCTCAGCAGCTCCCAGGCCACATTCGGGTCTCACTCTGTAACTTGCATGAGTCTAGGGAGAGGCAGGGAAGGGCCTGGCTTGGCAGAATTGCTAAAACTGCAGGTTAAAAATCCCCAATTGGCATAAATCCTAATAAGGGAAAACATTAGAAAAATAGGTTGTGTGTGAATATAACTTATTTTAAGAATGATAACAGTAACATATTTTGAGAGCCTATGGGCCAGGCACCGGGCTAAGGGCTCTCTATTCACAATCTCCTTCCCCATAATTAGAGAAGCTCTAGATCCCACGGAATCTTTTCAGATGTCAGTTTCTTCCCCTCTGCATAAGTGGGTCTTATTTTATAGATGCCAAGTCTTCTTCATTTTTTTTGAGACGAAGTCTTGCTCTTGTCCCCCAGGCTGGAGTGTGATGGTGCAATCTCGGCTCACTGCAACCTCCGCCTCCCGGGTTGAAGTGATTGTCCTGCCTCAGCCTCCTAAGTAGCTGGGATTACAGGTGCCTGCCACCACGCCCAGCTAATTTTTGTATTTTTAGTACAGACGGGGTTTCACCATGTTGGCCAGGCTGGTCTCAACCTCCTGACCTCAGGTGACCCACCTGCCTTGGCCTCCCAAAGTGCTGGGATTACAGGCGTGAGCCACTGCGCCTGGCCAAGTCTTCTTGAAGTGTGTTGGAAGTTACTGGAAATTTTCTAAATATCTTGAAGTAAGACTGTCTTCTATGATGTAAGACTATCTTCTGACTTAAGACTATCGTCTATGATGTTAGACTATCTTCTATGAAGTCCGGCTGTCTTCTGTGATATAAGGCTGTCTTCTGGCCAGGTTTGATGGGTTATGCCTGTAATCCCAGCCCTCCAGGAGGCCGAGGTGGGCAGATCACTTGAGGCCAGTAGTTCGAGACCAGGCTGGCCAACATGGCGAAACCCCATCTCTACCAAAAATACAAAAATTAGCTGGGCGTGGTGGCTTGTGTCTATACTCCCAGCTACTTAGGAGGCTGAGGCGAGAGAATTGCTTAAGGTCAGGAGCTCCAGACCAGCCTGGCCAACATGGTGCAACCCTTTCTCTACTAAAAATACATAAATTAGCTGGGCATGGTGGCATGCTCCTGTAATCCCAGCTACTAAGGAGGCTGAGGCAGGAGAAAAAAAAAAACTGTCTTCTATGAAGTAAGACTATCCTCTATTATGATGCCAAACTGTCTTCTATGATGTGAAACTGTCTTCTATGATGTAAGGATGTCTTATATGATGTAAGGCTGTCTTCTATGACATCAGACTGTCTTCTATGATGTAAGGCTGTCTTCTATGATGTAAGACTGTCTTCTGTGATGTAAGGCTGTCTTCTGTGATGTAAGGCTGTCTTCTGTGATGTCAGACCGTCTTCTGTGATGTAAGGCTATCTTCTGTGATGTCAGGCTGTCTTCTATGATGTCAAACTGTCTTCCATGATGTCAAACTATCTTCCACGATGTGGAACTTTCTTCTATGATGTAAGACTATCTTCTATGATGTAAGACTCTCTTCTCTGATGTAAGACTGTCTTTTATGATGTAACACTGTCTTCTATGATGTAAGACTCTCTTCTATGAGTCTTATGTAGGCCTCCTCCTCAGGATACCCCCCTCCTTTGGGCTGCAGAGTCTTTCAGATTTCTGTTGAGTTTTTATCTTTTGCTCGTCCTTTTGGAAGAAAGTTAATGTGTGTCTAGTATTAGAAACTGAGGTAGTTAAGCCACTGTGAAAAGCAGTTTGGAGATTTCTCAAAGAACTGCAAACAGAACTGCCACTCAACTCAGCAATCCCATTACTGGGTATATACCCAAAGGAAAATACATCATTCTACCAAAAAGACACCTCCACTCGTATGTTCATCACAGCAATATTCATGATAGCAAAGACATGGAATCAACCTAGGTGCCCATCAACAGTGGATCGGATAAAGAAAAGGTGGTACATATATGCAATGGAATACTATGCAGCCATAAAAAGGAACAAAATCATATCCTTTACAGTTAACACAGATGCAGCTGGAGATTACTAAACAAATTAATTTATCCTAAACAAATTAATGCAGGAACAGAAAACCAAACATGGTGGGGTTTTGCATGTTCTCACAAGTGGGAGCTAAGCATTGAGTACACATGGACATAAAGCTGGGAAAAACAGACACTGGGAATTACTAGAGGGGGAAGGGAGGGAGGGGGGCAAGGACTGAAAAACTACCTATTGGGCACTATGCTCAATACCTGGGTGATGGGATCAGTCATACCCCAAACTCAGCATCATGCAATAAACCCGTGTAACAAACCTGCACGTGTATCCTCTGAATCTAAATAAAAGTTGATACTTTAAAAAAAAATATGAGGAGATGATGATGAGGTTGCTGTCCAGACCTTTCAGCCCAGATGAAGCAAAAGGCTTAGAATTACCTTAAGTAGTAACTAAAAAATTACATTGAGGAGGAGTAATTAATGTTCCTGATGAATTTATAAAGTGAAAAAAGCATGCCACCAAATCTGCACATATGTAATATTGAAGAATGCACACACCAACTCACACATATAATTTATGTATGCTTAAAAAGGAATATGGGTCATTGCACAAAAATAGAAAAATATAGATGAGCATGAAGGAAAAAGCAAAATCCATCCACAATCTTATCACCCAGTGATAACAATTATGAACATTATGATATATTTCCTTCCAGGTTCTTTTCCAAATATATTAAAATTTGTTCGTAATTATTTATACATTGTATGTTTCTTTTAAATCCTGCTTTTGATTCCTTAACATCTTTCCATGAACATCTTCCCATGGAAATAGCATCAACACTTTGCAGTGAGGGTGAATGGAGAGAACATTGGAGAAAGCCCCCTCCCCGCCCCACCACTCTCTGCACAGAGCCCAGAAGTTGGGAGGTATCTTGGAAATGGCTAATTACAAACACATGGCATTTGGGCCACTGTCCCTGCTCCTGAACTCAAAGCAGATATTACTAATCAATCCCAGTTCCCTTTTCTGAGGAACACAGAAGCCCTCTGACCCTTTTTCAGCACCACACTCTAGACAGCCACATATTATCTTCCTACATTGGGCCTCGGCTTTGAGAAGCCTAATTCTGAGAAGCTTCAATTCACAATTTCCCTACAGGACTATGTCACCACTACTTAGAGATTCAAGCCTTTAGTGCACAATGAATCTGCAGTTGGATCTTTCATATTTAGCTTGGACTGTCATTAAAAAAGCACTGTGGAGCCAATGCATTAGGGTT